>NC_000002.12:31339627-31492377 GCF_000001405.40 Homo sapiens
AGCTCCTCTAGGGTGAAGAGGCCAAGGCCCTGGACAAATGCCCCTTCCACCTGCAGGATGGATGGAGAGCACAGTTAGCCTGCCACCTTCTTCCCTGAGGACAGATACCACTTGCCACAATGGACACAAAGCGCCAACTGCAGCGCGGCCTGGAATGTAGCTAAAACTGCCCTCTATTGCTTACCTGGCTCCCGCCTCAGCCCTGGGATAACCCATCCGGACTTCTGCCAGGCTTTGGCTCAGGCAGAGCAAAGACATTAACACGGAAGGTCAGTGATTCTAGGTGGGCATGTTTCCCACTACAACCTGCCGCAGTGCAGATGGAGATGTTCCTTCCATGTTGCTACTGGGGAAATGGTGAGCCAAAGCTAAGAAGCAAGCTCACAGGAGGATTTATTCGATAGTAGATTCTTTGAGACTTACCTCCAGCCTTTTTGAACGCCCACCCCTGCCTGTCCTCTGGGAGAAAGTGCCCCCACTGCAGTTCAGCTTACAGGTCTCTCCTAGGGTAACTGCCATGATAGACAGGCCCACACATCTGCTCTCTCAGCCCCCTGCTCAGAAGCGTGACATGGGGCACTACCATACCTCAACGAGCATTCAGAAAAGAAACCGACTGGCAATCATCTTTGGGTCTGCAGTACTGGCTTGGTGCCTGGCCACAGTAGGGGACCATAAATGGTTGTTCAATGAATTAATGAACAGATTGACTAATGGCCAGATTTTCGTATACTCAGTAGTTGTCCATTTTTTAGAAGTACAATTTGTATTTTCTACCAGATGCTCAGTCTTGAATTCTTGATTCCTCCTCTGTTTTTTCCTATCTCACCTATTCTTTATTTTATTTTATTTATTTTTTTGAGACTGAGTCTTGCTCTATCGCCCAGGCTGGAGTACAGTGGTGGGATCTTGGCTCCCTGCAAACTCCACCTCCCAGGTTCAAGCAATTCTCCTACCTCAGCCTCCTGAGTAGCTGGGATTACAGGTGCATGCCACCACACCCAGCTAATTTTTGTATTTTTAATAGAGACGGAGTTTCGCCATGTTGTCCAAGCTGGTCTCGAACTCCTGATCTCAGGTGATCTGCCTGCCTCGGCCTCCCAGAGTGCTGGGATTACAGGTGTGAGCCACAGGTCCCAGCCCTATTTCACCTATTCTTCATAGTAATCCCATATTCTCCTAAAGCGATTTTCTCTGGGACCTCCCTTTACTACTTCTGCTTAAGCCTTTGTGTTTTGCTCCCAGGGCCTTCCACCACTCCATGTTTGGCAGCATCTGCTTCCTGGGGTACAAAAGCTGTCCTAGGTGGAGGAGGAATGAGAAGACAGAAAACTCTTCTGACCTCAGACCCCACTGTCTGGGCATTGATCCCAAACTCAATCCCCATTCTACGTTGTGCTCACACTCAAATTGGGTGTGTGTGCATGTTCACATGTGCATGCCATGTTTCCTCATTTCTCATCTTGTTTTTGAGTTGTGAGTGCCCTTCCCAAGTTGACCCATATTAATTTGCTTTCTGCCTTGAGGGTTGGTTGGACTATCACCAATCTAAATTCTACTTTGGGGGAAACTCCCTAGGTTCCATGTTTCAGCCTGTTTGAAGACAACCTTGGACAACATGTTGTGGCAGGTGGCCCCAGGAGGGGAATGGGGTGCATCGGTGGCCAAGTCTGTCACCACCCTGGTCCCACTGAGCCTCACCTGTCCAATATCAATGGCAGGGTTTAGACTGGAGCCAACATCCATGACAATATCTGTGCGGAGGTTCTAGAGTAGACAGCAAAATTACAAGAAGTTAGAGGAGGAAAAGATGTTTGGAATATGACAGATGACTCATAGTGACCCTCAGACTACAAGTGCCAACCAAAGAGTACGTTCCCAAGCAGAAAGCCCTGGGTGTGCTCAGGCAGAAGTGTTGATGTTCCCACCAAATCTCTGCTGCCACCATCCCCGCTGGAGTCTGAGTTTGTAGCAGCCGGGTAGGAAGTGGGGAGCAGCAATGATCTCTCAGTAACTGGGAATAACACACATTCATACGTGAGTAGTCAGATAGGGTCCCAGAAACCTGGGGCTTTGAATCTGAGTCTGGGTAGATCATGTACAAAAGAGTCAATATACTACGTTCCATGGGCTAAATCCAACTTGCCCCTGTTTTCGTGGGGCCTGTAGGCTAATAATTACATTATTAAATAACTGGAAAAATAAAAAGAAGAATATTTTGTGACAAGTAAAAATTGTATGAGATTCAATTCAAATTCAAATTTCAGTGTCTATAAATCATATTTTATTGGAACAGAGTCACACTTATCTGTTTACAAGCTGTCTATGACTGCTGTCACACTTCAATGGTAGAGTTCAGTAGCTGAGGCAGAGACTGTATGGCCCACGAAGTCTAAAACACTTACTCTGTGGCCCTTTATAGGATGTTTGCCTATCCTTAATGGAAGGCATTATTTTTCCAACCAGAAATCTTGTCTCTATCAGCTCTAGGTATTACAACTCAGTTGTTTCTCTTCTCTTTCCCACTAAGTACTAAAGTTTTGCAAACTTCTTACCTTATGATCTCCTGTTAGGCAGTCGATTTCTACTTCAGAGCAAGCCACCCCATAGCTGAAGTAGTGGAAGGGGTTCCCTGAGTTAGTCTCAAAGCTGTAGCCCAGATTGGGTGTTCTGGGAGAGGAAAGAGAAGGTACTGCACATGTATTAACATGAACACACCCCCTTCCCTATGCACGTACAGCTTGACCCACAACATCTTTAAACCCCACAAGTTTTTGCATTCAGCTGTTCTCCAAAAAAGTCCATGGTTTGAACAATTTGAACCTGTTAACGAAACCCAGATATTCCAGAACATTTTGTCTCTGGGCCCTCCTCTATTTTGCCAGTAGCCCTTCTGTACTCATTCTGTACAGCCTAGCAGTGTTTAGTACCATGCTAGCCTCTGCACAGTAGAAAGAGAGGTAACAGATCCATCTGGGCTCACGAAGGACATGAAAGTCACACTCCAAAGGATGTACTGAATTAGAATCCAAGGTCTTCAGGACTGAAGGTTCTGCCTGTGGTGGCTCTTAGACTGTTCACACAGTTCTCCTGCTTACCTTCTCAAGGTGAGAAAGTTAATAAGATCAGCATCTCATGCTAACCTGGGTGCATCTTTAAGCGGCCACTCCCCACCTGCTGGTCCCTTTGAAAGTTCAACAAATGATTTGAGGGAAATGATACGAATAGAAACAAATGCTCCCTTATACATTTTTAAAATTTTCAATCTGGAGTACCTTATACAATTCCACTTTTGCCTGAGTCATATAAATATATGTGTATATCTATGCATTTGTGCATGTGTATTCACACACCTAGAGTTTACAGTACACTGACTCTGTGTTATTCTATACACTACACAGGAATAACATGAGCTGATATGACCAGATCTGCACAAAAACAAAACCAATATGGGGCTGAGGGAAAAGGCTTCTCCCAGAAAAAACCACCACCAATTCCTTTGACCTCTGCTTTCACCATGCTCCTCTGCTTTGACCTTTATAAAACCTTAGTTTCATGAACTCCAGAAATGTAATAGGAATTTATGAGAAAATGTGTTTATGTATGTGTAGGTCAGATATTAAAAACCTAGAAAGCATTGGCAAAACATTTCTTCACCATATATATATATATATATATATATATATATATATATATATATGCATGTTTATACATATATATGCCTTATACATATATATTCAATGTAATATCTATACATATATATGAGCCACATATATGTTCATATATGGCATAGAAATGTTTTTTTGTGTATATATGTTTATACATATATGCCTTATACATATATGTATAATACATATATATGCCTTATATACTTATATATATGTATATAAAGCATACATATATGTATAAGGCATATATATATGCCTTATATAAGGCATATATATATTCAGTGTAATATCTATACATATATTAGCCATATGTATGTTCATATATATGGCATAGAAATGTTTTGTGTGTGTACATATGTTTATACAGATATATGTCTTATACATATATGTATAAGGCATATATATTCAGTGTAATATCTATACATATATATTAGCCATATATATGTTCATATATAGGGCATATAAATGTTTTTTGTGTGTATATATGTTTATGCCTTATATGTATAAACATATATATGCCTAACATATATATGTTCATATATATATTCATATACATACGGAAAATAAATGTTTCATACAAAGAAATGTTTATACATATATATATTTATGCATCTATATATTCATACATTCAGACATGATATTTTAAAGAAACATTGAATTATTTTCCAAATATATTGAAAGAAAATATTCCAAATATCTGTGAAAGAAAAGGTCCTAGCTAAACTTCCCAGAGACGGCTAAAATATGATGACTGACAGTAAATATGATCATATCTTTTTACAGCTGCTAAGTCAGATGGGCAGGGTCTCTAGCTATTCACGCTGCTACTAAATTTAAAGTTGCAGAAGTCATACGCTCTCTTGAAAATCTCCCTGTATTAATAAGTTTCCACTGTATTCTGCATTTTGTAATAAGACCACGTGCTCTAAATCCTCCTCTCATTCTATAAAAAAGTCCCACACACAGTACAAAGAAGGATGCATAGCTAACAGCAATGCCTAACTCATAACACTACACAGCCTGGTTTCTGCAGGAGAACACTGAGGGAGGAATGGTTAGGTACTGGCCCCAATACGTCACCCATGAGGAAACAGGGGAACAGGTTCAGCAGGACCACTGACTTCCTCTGGTGAAATTGTGCACCCTGAGACCAGAACTAGAAGTCGGGTCTTCTGACACACAGCTGGTGCTTTTACCCCTTGGCACACAGTGTGGCCATTCCACATATTTTAGAGCATCTTTAGACTGAAATTAGCGGAAGTCTGTTGAAGAGATAAGTGGAGCTGCTCTCTCCTGACCACAGCCTGGCAGGATTCGGTGCTGGAGTGGACCAGTGAGGTTAGGACGACATCACACTATGAGCTGGGCAAGGACAACACCATACTTACCTATAAAACCCAGTGGCAGACAAGCTCACTGTGTCCATGTAGGCAGCTGTGACCTGAGGAGAGGAGATGGCCATCAGGCAGGTGAAGTGAGGTTTTCAGGAACCCTGACCTGCCACTAAGCTTTCAGGAGCTCACCTCCTCTGGAAGCCAATCAACTCATTTTACTAGTGACTCCCATTTCCATACCTTACCTTACATTGTCACTGGCACCACCTGCACCAGGTCCTCATTATCTGAAGCCTGGAACACTGTAGTCACCTCTTAACTGGTCTTCCTCCCTTGAGTTGTCTCCCCAGCCCAGCCAGAGTGGCCATCTTAACATACCACACTGTGCATGTCACTACCCTACTCTAGAGCTTTCCACGGCTCCTTATTGCCTGTAGAGCAAATGCCTGATGTTAAGGACCACAGTCTCTCTGGCATTTTGCAGCACACGAGGGCCACCCCAGCCACACTCAAGAGCTAAATCTCTCTCAATTCTTCCATCTCCCACACCTCTGCACCTTTATTTATGTGGTTCCTCTTCTATATATGTGCAAATCCTTTTCTTCCCTCAACAACTACTCAAACTTGCCCTCCATTCTCCCCTCCTTGGTGAACTCTCCCTAACTGGCCATTATAAAAGCAACACGCTATAGCGCTCATGTGGTACTTCACATGTTCACCTTGTGCTTTTACATATGCTTTCCTGTTGATCAAACTATCCCTCCATCCTATCCCTTGGACTATATAATGTGCTTTTTTGGTATCCCCAAACACTAGCACAGACTCAGATTTAAGTTGTACTTGATATAATTTATGCCTTCTTCATTAGCAGCCACCAAACGATTTACTGTGTCACACGCGCTATTTAGCACTTTGCATACATTATCTTACTTATACTCACAACCCCAGAAAACCTATACTATTATTAGCCTCATTTTACAGATGAGGAAACTAAGGCTTGGAAAGACTTGGTCCTAAAACCTGCACTAGTCATTTAACATAATGTGCGTGTGCATGTGTGTGTGTGCACGCATGCTTGTGTGCGTTTGTGTGTGCGTGCACATGCGCATGTGTATGTATGTGTTGGTGACTGTGGTTCATTTATTGGGGTTATCTGTTTCCCAGGCACACTGGTCTACATGGCTGGTGGTTGAAGACAAAGCTCAGATCCACAGGTCAGATGATAGAACATTGTTGTCGGGACTGTTGTTAAAAACATTTAAACTGCCTGATAAATCCATGCTAAAACCCAACTACCAAAATCAGGCTACTTTCATGTGCTATTGGTACACGTGGTATGGAGAGGTCATAGAAGGCATAGTAAGATGAGTGGGTCTGAGAAAAATGGCATGTTTTCTTTAAATCTATTGAGGAAGATTTCTAGTGAGCCGGTTTATGTGCAGTCACATTTGATGTGTTACTCTTCTGCCCAGTTCTACCACTCCAATACTGGGGAAGGATGCAGAGCTGCCATTAATATTTCCACTTGCTGGAGGAGCCACAGCCTCCCGCCTGCAAGAGACTCCCTTGCCCCTTCCCTCTGAGATTTCTGACATTCAGGCCACTGGTCTAGAAGTCAGAGAATTGGGCTCATTCTTATCATAAGTGCTTGTTCTGTCATTCCCCAAATCACAGGAATGATAGAAGTCCTTGGGTGATGTTTTCTCCCCACGCTGTCACAGAGGGAATCTCAGTAGACTCAGACTCAAGAGATGGAGATTTGAGGAAAACCAGGCTCATCTGGGACAAGCGGGGTGTGGGAGCAGACCCACTGAGTCAAGACAATCCGATGAGGCATGTTCAGCAGGCACCCATCCTCTCAGGCTCAGGCAAAGAAAACCCTGATTCCCACAAGGCTGTCAAGATCCTGGATCAAAAACTTCCCTCAAATGACCTCCCTCAATGATGAAAGCTATAGAGAAAGGGACCCAGCCAGAATGAGCATTTATTCATCCTGTAAAATCACACAAACCACCTCAACTTCTCTCTGCTGTTCTGACTAAAATATTGTCTCCTATTACTTGTTCGGATTCGGAACGGAGGCCCTGCTGTCAATTTCCCTCTCCTTTGCAAACGTGACTTGGATCAGCTCAGACTTACCCAGTCTTCCCAGGAGCCACTGGGATTCTTCTTCTTGTAGGGTTCCAGCCTTTTCAAGATGGTCTGACAAGCCGCCTAAAGTAAACACCCCCCACACCCCAGACACATCAGTCCTCTGCATTCTGTAGCCCAGGCAAAACCCGAGGGCCCCAGCAAGGCTACCTCCAAGCAATGCTGTACCCAGGGTGCCACTCAAACAGCCTGGCCACCCACTCCAGAATGATCAAGGCCCAGGGTAGAATCGACAGGACCTGGCCAATAGGGCCACCACTAGTCCCTGCTTGGAGAGCACTTCCTGACTCAATTCTTAGGCTGACAGAGGGCGAAATGTTTGAGGGATCCCCAGAGAGGTGTCTTCTTCCCTCAAACTGCTTGTTTGATTATATCCCCCATATGGCAGAGGAGCCAGTGTGGCCAACCTGCCTCTATAATCAAATTTCAGCTTCAGCCCATTGTCCTATTGCTAGCTCCAGCACCAGGGAGTAATTCCAGAAGCCTCTGCTTTCCCTCGGTATCCTCATCTCCCCATCCTGCACTCATCCTTCCCAGCTTTGAGGGCAGTGATTATGATTCTTGGGCCTCTCTTTTAGCTTGAGGTTTGGAGAAACAGCATCCTCCTGGATAAGGGAGCCAGAGGCCTGGCCAGAGCCAAAGAGCCTGCAAGGAACCCTTCTAGCTCCCACCCAGGGAGACTCTCCAGGCCCACAGCTCTGGGCTGGCCCTCTGCTCTGCGGGATCCCATGGGCTCCTTACATAGACGGCCTGTCCATTGAGGTCAGCGCTGACAGAGGCAGCCGTGGGAGAGGTGTTGGGCACAGTGTTAGTGCTTGTCTCGCTGATATAAATCTTAGAGGTGGGGATTTTCAGAGCTCTACTGGCCACCTGCGAAAAGAGAAGACATTGCCCTCTAGGGAAGGGGTTATCATGGGGCTTGGCTGCCTTCTCCCCAAGACAGGATTCACATTCACTGTTACAGGCAAGAAAACAATTTCGTAAACTCTAATCTCATTGTCTGGGATGTCCTTACATCTGGCTGAATTTGAAGGAGCACTTGGTGGAGTTCGGTTGGATAAAAAATTCATAAACTGACAAACAGTGCCTTTTTACACTAACACTCACTTTTCAAAAGATCCAATCTGGCCAGTCTCCATGCGCCAAGCAGATGTGCTGACTCTAATCCAGCTCATTGTCCTCACTCCACTCCGAGGAGTCTTGGAATGTGGGAAACTCGCGACCTTTACACACAGAGCATGCCCGCCTCACACACTGAGAATGTTGGTAATAGCAATGTCCTCAGAGGTCACCTGGCCAACTCCTTTGCACAGATGAGGAAACTGAGTTCAAGTGGGGGAAAAGACTTGCCCGAGGCTACACGGACATAAGCAACAGGGCCAGGGCCAGACCCCGGGCCTGCTTCTGCTCTGATAGGTCCCACTGCTCAATTTCTTATACCACTTCCTCTAACAACGGACACAACACTGCCAGAGAGGGCTGCTCACCTGGACCATTTTGGTATGAAGGCCTTGGCCCATCTCAGTCCCCCCGTGGGTCAGCAGCACAGAGCCATCTGTGTACACATGAAGTAGGGCTCCTGCCTAGGGAAAGAGAAGGATGCCAGACACAAAATTCAGTAAAATCCAACTCATTAAGGTTTGGGACCAAAGGTATGGAGCCCAGGAACAAGAGAACCAGCAGCATTTTGGATGTAAACCTCAGACAAAAATTATGGCAGTATGAATCTCATGATTTAATTATATAGCACTTCAGTAGTTTGCAGAAGGTTTTCATATGTTTCTCTCTGTTTCTCTTGTTCTCAAAGGGAAATAGGTCAAATATCTGTCCTCACTCTGTAAGTGAAGAAACAGAACAAGAAAAATAGAGTAGCTCTCTCCAGTCCGATAGTTAAGGAAAGGTAAGAACTAGAGGTTGATCCCAGATCTCTGAGTCTCACTGCCCATGACCTACTGGACAAATAGGACTGTGCAAGTTCGACTTTCATTTAAAGAGCAAAGAGTTCCTCCAGTAAGCCCTGTTACCAGTGACAACGAAATTTCCCTTGCAATACTGTAAACAACAGGGAAATGGGGTCCCAGTCCAGCGGAGATGGACACAATTCTATAAAGCAATTACCTGATTCAGAAAAGGAACTGTAAAGCTTATTCCAAACTTGGTGGGAATTATGCACAATCCTCTCTTTTTCCAACAATTCTCCCTAGAGAAAAAGGAATATTCTTATAGAACCTTCGCTATCATATTGAGGACATGAATATCTTTGGATGTTCACATCAAAACAGGACATCCTTGGGGTTGCCCACAAAGATGAGAACAGTCAGCTGGTGCACAGCCCACACCAGGGGGTCTTGTCAACACTCTTCTTCCCTGAGTGCAACCCGTACTGGGTCAGAGTGCCCTGGTAATCTTGGGCTGTCATCATCTCCAGGAGGCACTGTGCCTCACTGACAATAATAAAGCCTTCTCTGTGCTTTATATTTAATTATCTGAGTAACTCTGTGAGGAAGACAGAGCCAGCCCAATTATGCCCACTTTTCACATGATGAAACTGAGGCCCAGGGACTCCCAAATTCATATTTATAGATCAGTGTCAGAGGCAGGTGCATAACTGTGACGTGTTAGTCCTAGGCCAGTGTTCTTTATCATACGGTGTGCCCAAAGGTTTACAAACGCGTAAAGATGAACCACAACTGACAGGCTATGACACCGATTGCAGGCTGTGAGCCCACCTGCCCCGGGCTGAAGATCATTATAAGATCTTAAAGAGATGGCTGTGAATGAGTTGGCAAACTCAGCAGTCTCATAAGTTATCCATTGAATTATTAGCTTCCTATATGGGGTCAGCAGAAAGGCTGTAGGATATGAAACCCAGAAGAGCAACTGGACTTCTACTCCTAGTGCTTACTTGTTGAACTTGTCAACCTCACTCTTCCGAGCATGATACTGAGAGCTTGCTAGGCATTCTTCCCAGCATCTGGGCAAGGTGAAACCCTCAAGCTTCTGGTTGAAGTGTGTCAGGTCCCCTTCTTTGTACAGGTTTTTTCTCCGCACCTTCCCAAGGAGAGAGACACAGAGGCCTTGTTGGCGGCAAGAGACTGTGGGGGCAGGGCACAACCTAAAGTTAAGCTTCCAACCCCCTCAGCAGCCCCTGCCTGTCATCTGCCCCCATGGGAGATGCCCAAGATACAAAGCCGCTGTCCCCCGAAGTAGTCTAAAGCACTCTGACTTGTGCTACCAAATTCTCAGCTTACCTCCTCTGCAGGCATCCCACAGGTCACTGCAACTTCACTCATCCAGCACTCGGCAATGAGCATCCCCTGGGGCCCCCCAAAGCCCCGGAAGGCCGTGTTGGAGGGAAGGTTGGTTTTGCACAGCCGCCCAGTGCCCCGGATGTTGGGGATTTTATAGCAGTTGTCCATGTGGAATAAAGCTCGTTCCATAATCTGAAGCAGAGGAAACAAAAATGGGAGAGAACAGTGTACTGATTGCATTGGTTCCTCAAAGTAGGAACTTTGAGGGCTGTATCCATTGCCTGCCTTTCCCCTCTGCACCCAAGTTATTTCTCCCCCAGGATATTGCAGCAGCATCTTTTTTTTTTTTTTTTTTTTTTTTTTTGAGATGGAGTCTCGCTCTGTCACCAGGCTGGAGTGCAGTGGAGCGATCTTGGCTCACTGCAAACTCCTACTCCCTGGTTCAAGCAATTCTCCTGCCTCAGCCTCCTGAGTAGCTGGGATTACAGGCACGCACCACACGCCCAGCTAATTTTTGTATTTTTAGTAGAGATGGGGTTTCACCATGTTGGCCTGGAAGGTCTCGATCTCCTGACCTCGTGATCCGCCCGCCTTGGCCTCCCAAAGTGCTGGGATTACAGGCATGAGCCCAGCCTGCGGCAGCATCTTTACTGCACCTTATCCACCCACTAGTCCCCTCATTCAGCAACTCTGTGGAGAAATTCATTCCAGAGCCTCTAGTTGGAACTAATCACTTGCCTCTTTTTGAAAACAGTTAACTTTTAAAAATTCATTGTAAATTAGTTAATGAAAACTATGAAACAGCCATGAAAGTTGTACTGCAAATAGTTTGAAGTGTCCCATACTTCTGTAAGTCATGGTATGAAAAACAGTAGCCTCTTCCACTTTCCTTCCTTCTAGTCTCCAGAAGCAACTACTTACAATTCTCATAGCTTATCATCTATCAGCTATTTAGATAAACTTATACGTCTCTAGATAATGTGGCTACATTGCTATGTCTTGACTTTTTCAGTTTTAGACTTTTAGGTTGTCTTTCTTTTATGGAAAAGGAGAATTTAGTTTTGGCTTAGCCCCCTCCCTCCAGCCCTCACCCCTACCAGCTTCCTATTTCCCAGTATAGTTGTATTTTGATCAGATCAACAGTCAATTTAATATTATAACTCTGTAAACATTACTTACAGCTGAACCATGTAGTTACATTACAATTTCTTCTCTCTTGATAATATTTTTTTCACCCTGGAGTTAATAATTGTCTTTATTTTTTCATCTGCTTCATTTTGTATGTACTTATTACTAAGCCAACTTAAAGTTTTCCCCAATTCTAAAAATCTGCTCCTAATATATTTTCTCTTTTCCCTCCTGAGCTCTGCTTCCAACATGTTCAAGCACATCAGATTTTCTATCCTAGAGCCATCTGGCCTACTCCAATTTAAATTCGCTGCCCACTAGATCTGCTATTCAGCTGTTACCTAAGGATTTAAATCTTAAATCCCCCAGTGGGATCCAAAGGGGTAAAGGGATTCATCCCAGGGATTCCCTTCACCTCTCTCCATATTGAATCCCCTGTTCCTAGATTCCATGCCTTTCCCTTTTTAAATTTTACTCCCTCATTTTGTTGGAGTACATCCTTTAATATCTTCATAAGAAAGGGTACACAAAGAGGAACATCTTTGACACCTTGCATGTCTGAAATGTCTTTATTCTACTTTCACCTTTAATTAATGATTCAGCTGTATATAGAATCCTAATTTGGAAGTAGGCTTTCCAGTTTTTCTCAGCAATGTGAAGGCATTTTACTAGTACATTCTAGCTTCCTGCTATTGAGAAGTCCAATCAATGCCTTTCCAATTCTTGGAGAGTTCTGTTTTTTCTTCCTGAAAATTGTGAAATCTTCTCTTTGTCCTCAGGTTTCTAAATTTCATAACATTATAACCTGGCATAGGTCTATTTTCTTTCATTGTGCTGGTTATTATATGGGCTGTTTTAATCCCAAAGTGTATGCCCATCAGTTTTGGAAAATTTTTTGAATTATTGATAGCTTCCCCTTCTCTGTTTTTTCCATTCTTTCTTTCTGAAATGTCTATGATTTGGACCTCTTGAACTGATCCTCAAAATTTTTTTGTATTTTCTCTATTTTTTCACATTGTTTTCCATTTTTGGGAGATTTGTCAAGTTTCTTTGAACCCCTCTGCTTTCATAGTGTCAAGTCATGAGAGCTCATTTTTATTCTTTGACTGCTCCATTTTAGTAACATTCTGTTCCTTCTTTAAGTTGTAATATCTCATCTCTCTGGAAAGATCAATGGCAGCTTTCTTTTTTTGTTGTTTGTTTTATTTTGGTTTTGGTTTATTTCCCTATGGGTACTCTCTCTCTCCCACAAGTTGCTTTATGTGTCTTTGATAATTTCAGTCTTACTCATCCTAAATGATTTTTCTATGTCTCAATTAATTCTACTTTTGCTTTCCCTAGTACTTTATCAACTTGTATTTCTGTTTCTTTTATCATCTACTTCCCCTGCCATATTGTGAATTTCTTGAGGGCAGAAACAATGTCATAGCCTTCCTTATGTAGCCACCCTAGGCACTTAATATATTTGCTGGATTGAATTGAAAATCTTGTAGGATGTCTAGGGACAAAGACTGTATGTTTTTCAACGTGATTTTTTCCCATACCAGAAAGCATGTCTTATACTTGAAGAGAACAAGAAATAAGAATAATTCTTTTTTTGAACAATTTTAACCCTAGATCTGAAGTGTGAAGTTTCCTAACTGAGCCAATTAGGCAGCCCCTAGCAGAGAGGAGTGTGATCCAAAAGGGTAAAGGGGAATGTCGGCTTTTCCTGAAAACTTTAACCTTTTTTTTTTTTTTTCAAAGAGACAGGCTTTTGCCATGTTGGCCAGGCTGGTCTTGAACTCCTGACCTCAAGTGATCTGTCTATCTCGGCCTCCCAAAGTACTGGGATTATAAGCATGAGCCACCGCACCCAGCCACCTCTTTTTTTTTTTTTTTCAAACAAGAATCTATACATACGTAACTACTATGGTTACAAAATTAAGATTTAAAAAACTGTAAAAAGTGGTACCACCAAAATAAATTTGTTAATTCTCACAATTGACTTTATTTCATCCAAGCCCTCTAGTTATTTTTCTAAACAACTCAATATTCCAAGTTCATCTCCCAAAGCTGTGACCACAATAATGAGGAGTACGTAGCTCCCACTTCTGGTCTTACCCTGGTCATTTACAATGTGACTGGAGGAGCATCAACTGAGACTAAATATAAAAGCACACGATAATTACTGACACATTACTCAGGATTCTATCTTGTGAGAAACTCAACATTGAAGTATATACAGAGACTTTCACTTCCATACTTCCATTAAGTACCACTAAAAACTCTGGAATTCTATATATTTATTTAAAATCAACCACAACAACAATGTAAGAATACTCTGAAAAGTGGAGGAAAAAAAAAGGCAGTCCCAGTAGGGACTTTGCAACCCAAGGAATGACATGATGGTGAGTTCCAGGGGTTTCCTTTTTGCCTCATCTATATATCCCAGACTTGGGGCAGGAGCTGGCAATCCAGAAATGCCAATGATGACAGAGACCAAAAAGCTCACTATATATTCCAAATCCTTTTATCTCTAGCCAAAAGACCAAGAAAAGGGCAGTCTAGCAAAACTAAACACTTTTAGACAATAAGTACCCCAGCCAAACATCACAGAAAAAGAAAACGTAGTCTCATTCCTACTCACACCTGCAAAAGCTCAGTAGGAGCCCAGACTTCCACATTCATGAGGCTGTTATGAGATACCCCAACATTCCTGCTGGGATGGTGCCAGAGGAGACCAGATCGGGAGTCAAGACTTTCATTGCTGATGGCCAGTCATAAGGCTGTACCTACACCTTATGATGGAGTCACTGGAGAACACATTGACTTCCCCACCCACATAACAAAGACACACCACTCTTCCCTTCCTTTCTGGTTGTGTCAGAAAAAGTCTAGTGAAGAGTCAAGGCTTTTAGCACAAGCCAGTGGTAAAGAGGCCACCCACACCATGATGTCCATGGACAACACGTGGAATGTAGATCTCCCATCTCTGCCCAGAAGTAAGAAGGAGTTGTTCCTAACCTGGGTATCAACAAAGGCCAAGTGGAAGATCAAGATTTCTACCTCTACCTAGCAGTGATGAGGTGGCATCCACCACTGCTAGAGCAAGGTCAGAAGGAGCCAATTAAAATAGAAGGCTTAAATAGATCCAAGCTCTCAGAACATCGTCATCACCACCATCATCTGTACATTAATGACGGGTTTCTCCAAGTTTCAGTGAAAAATCACTTGTCATACCAAGTGATAGGAAGATCTCAAACTTCCTGAATAATAAAAGATAACCAAGAGATGCCATCACTGAGGTGACAAAGATGTTAAAATTATCTGACTGTAGTTTTAATGCAGCCATGAAAAAAATGCCTCTGAGATCAATTGTGAACACACTTGACAGAAATAAAAAGCTTCTGGAAATAAACAGATAGTCTCACCAAAGACATAGAAGATACAAAGAAGAACCTAATGGGCCTTTCAGAATTGAAAAGGCAACAACCAAAATAAATAGCTTATTGGGTGGATTCAACAGCAGAAGAGAAGGGACATAGAAGAGAATCAGTGAACTGAAGAATAGAATAAGATATATTATCCAGTCTGAACTATATTGAGAATATGGAATGAAAAAAAAATTACAGTTTCAAGGACATTTGGGACTATAACAAAAGACCTAACACTCATGCCATTGGAGATCTGGAAGAAAAGGAGAAAAAGAGAAGAGCATGAAAGTACTCAAAGCAATAATAACTGAAAAGTTCCCAAGGTTTCAAGATATGTAAACCTACAGATTCAAGATGCTTGGTGATCTTAAAACAGGATAAGCCTGAAGAAATCTATGGTAAGTCCTATCATAATTAAACTTCTGAAAACTAAAGACAAAGGAAAAATCTTGAAAGCACCCAGAGAATATGACAACTTACCTATAGGGGGAGCCTAATTAGAATGACAGAGGATTTCTCATCAGAAGCCATAGAGACCAGAACGAAGTGGCAGTTTTTCAGGTGCTGAAAGAAACGAACTGTTAACTCAAAACTTAATGCCCAGTAAAGTGATCCTTCAGGAACAAGGAAAAAAATCAAGACATTCTCAGATGGAAAACTAAGAAAATGTGTCCCCAGCAGACCCACAATAAAATAATGACTAAAGGAAGTTCTAAACAGAAAGAAAATGATAAAAGAAGGAAGCTTGGAAAATTAGAAGGAAGGAAAAACACTATAAGCAAAATCATGGGTACAAGCAGTAAGCTTTTCTTCTCAGTTTTTAAAATTGTCTGATAGTTGAAACAAAAATTAAAACACTGTCTTGATGTGGTTCTAAATGAATGTAAAGAAAATATTTAAAATAAAAATAATATAAATGGGAAAGGGCAGAGTCATAAAGGGAGGTAAGTTTTCTATACTTCACCAAAACTAGTAAAATGAGAACTTCAGTAGGCTGTGATAAGTTGTGTATATATAACATAATACCTTGAACAATGACTAAGAAAGCTATGTAAGAGATACTTTTAATAAAAATGGAATATTAAAAAAAATGTCCAAGTAACCCACCCACAGCAAGGCACACAAAAGAATACAGAGAAATGAAAAGCTGATAGAACAAACAGAAAACAAAAAATAAAGTGGCAGTCTTATGCCTCAACACATCAATCATTATATGATGTATAAATTGTATAAATACAGTTAAAAGAGATTAGCAGAATGGATTTACAAACATGACCCAATTACATACTGTCTTCAAGAAAATCACTTCAAATATAATAATGTAGGCAAGTTGAAAGTAAAAGGATGGAAAAAGATATAACATGCAAACATTAATCAAAAGAAAGCAAGAGTGGCTTTATTAATATGAGATAAAGTAGACTTCAGAGCAAATACAATTACCAGAGACAGAGAGAAGGAGATTACATAATGATAAAAGTGTCAATCCTCCCAAAAGACAGCAATACTAATTGTGTCTGCCCCAAATAAAAGAGCTGAAAAAGATATGAAGTAAAGACTGGTAGAACTAAAAGGAGAAATAGAAAACTCCACAATTACAGTTGGAGATTTCAATGCTCCTCTCTCAAAATTGGTAGCAAAAAATAGACAGAAAATCAGGAAGGGTATAGAAGAACTCAACACCACCATCAGGATCTAGTGGATATTTATAGCACATTATACATGTGGTAGGAAAAAGAAATGCCTCCCCAAAGATATATTCACTTTCTAATCATGGAACCTGTAAATACTACCTTATATGGCAAAATATGTGATAAAGTTAAGGATCTGGAGAGAAGTAGCTTATCCTGAACCATTGGAGTGGATCCTAAATGCAATCACATGTCTCTGTAAGAGAGAAGTATGTCTAGGTAGACAAGAATGGACACACAGGAGAAGGTGATGGGAAGACAAAGACAGAGATTGGACTGATGCAACCACAAGTCAAGGAGTGCCACCAGCCACCAGAAACTACAAAAGGTCAGGAATGGATCCTTCCCTAGAGCTTCCAGAGGATGTGCGGTCCTGCCAACACCTTGATTTCAGACTTCTGGCCTCAGAACTGTGAGAAAATAAATGTTCGTTATTTTAAGCCACCCAATTTGTGGTGATTTGTTATAACAGCCACAGAAAACTAATACACAGCCATCAACAGCAAAATACACATTCTGCTTAGGTGCCCGTGGAACTTGTATCAAAACAGACCATGTCCTGGGCCATGATATGAACCTCAACATACTTCAAAGAATTGAAATCCTATAGACTGTGTTCTTCAACTAAAACGGAATGAAACTAGAAATCAATAGAAAGCCTCAGGATACAAAGATAACTGGAATATCTATAAACACCTGAAAACCAAACAGCATGCTTCTAAATAATTAGGGATCAAAGAGAAGGTGTCAGGGAAATAAACAAGCAGACCAAAAATACAAGAAAAAAATGAAATACAACATACCAAAACTTATGGGACCTGTCTAAAGTAGTGCTGAGGGGAAACTTTACAGCACTAAATTGAATACATTAAAAAAGAGGAAAACATTCTCAGATAGTTAATTTAAGCTTTCAACTCAAGAACCTAGAAAAAGAGAAGCAAAATAAATCCAAAGCAAACAGAGTGAACGAAATAATAAGGATAAGAGCAGAAATCAGTGAAATTGAAAACAAACACAATAGAGAAAATCAATGAAACAAAAACCCGGGTCTTTAAAAAGAGCAATAAAATTGACAAACCTCTGGCAAGACAGAAAAACAAAGTGAAGCCACAAATTACCAAATCAGGATTGAAACACGGGCTATCACTACAGACCCTGAAGACATCAAAAGAGAAATAAGAACACACTATGAACGATTCTACACACATGAATTTTTTAATAACTTAGACAAAATTAAATTGAATTCATGGAGATAAAGAGTAGAATGATGTTTACCAGAGGCTGGGGAGGGTAGGGGGACAGAGGATAAAATGGGGATGGTTAATACATATAAAAATATAGTTAGAATGAGTAACATCTAGCATACAGTAGAACAATATGGTGACTATAATATTTTTAAATATATGATAATTTATCGTATATTTAAAAATAAATAAGAGTAGAATTGAAATGTTCCCTAACACAGAAAAATGATAAATTCTTGAGGTGATAGATATTGACGTTACCCTGATTTGTTTATCCTGATACACTGTATGCCTGTATCAAAACATCATATGTATCCTATAAATATATACAACTACTATGTACCAATAATAATGAAAAACAAAACATTTTTAAATGAATGTCTCAAAATACAAAACTACCACTTCAGTATGAGATAGATAATTTGAATAGTCCTAGAACTATTAAGGAAATTTAATCAATAGTGTTTTTTTGTTTGTTTCTTTTTTTTTCAAGTATTATACTTTTAAGCTCTAGGACAGATCAACGAGACAGAAAGTTAACAAGGATATCCAGGAATTGAACTCAGCTCTGCATCAAGCTGACGTAATAGACATCTACAGAACTCTTCACCCCAAATCAACGGAATGTACATTCTTCTCAGCACCACATCACACTTATTCCAAAATTGACCACATAGTTGGAAGTAAAGCACTCCTCAGCAAATGTAAAAGAACAGAAATTATAACAAACTGTCTATCAGACCACAGTGCAATTTAATCAATAGTTTTAAGGCTATCAGAAAAGAAGTCTCCAGGTCCAAACGATTTCACTGGAAAATTCTACCAAACATTTAAAGAAGAATTAACACCAATTCTACACAATCTGTTCTAGAATTAGAAGAGGAATTCTAACTCATTTTATGAAGCTAGTGTTATCCTGACACCAAACCCTGACCAAGATGGTATAATTTTAAAAGAAAAAACTACAGAGCAATATTTCTCATGAATATGGATCCAAAAATCCTTAACAAATTTTAGCAAATAAAATTTGGCAATATATTAATTATACCATGACCAAGCTGGATTCATTCCAAGGACAGTGGTTGGTTCAGTGTTTAAAAAAATCAATGAATACAATCCACAATATTAACAAGCTAAAGAAGAAAAAATCACATGATCATATCAGTCAGTGCAGAAAAAGCATTTGACAAAATTCAACACCCATTCATTATAAAGATGCTCAGAAAACACTAATGGAAGAAAACTTTCTTAATCTGATCATGAGTATCTACAAAAAACAAACAAACAAACAAAACCCTACCAATAACATATTTAATGGTGAAAGACTGGATGTCTTCCCCTTAAGAATAAAAACAAAGGAAGGATATATGACCTATAGTTCTGCAAGGTCTGGCTAGCCATCTCAGTATGTAAAGAAAAGGAGATGAAAACATGCAGATTGGAAAGGAAGAAAAAAACCATCCCTATTTGCAGATGATAATGATTGTCTGCAGAGAAAATCCCAAGGAATCTACAGAAGAAATCCTAGAACTCATAAATGAGTTCTGCAAGGTCACAGGATATAAGAAACACAAACTGAAATCACAATGAGCTATCACTTCACACCCACTAATTCTAGTGGGTAAAGACAGACAATACCAAGTGTTACTGAGGATGTGGAATCCCTAAAGATTGTTGATTGGAATATAAAATGGTGTAGTCACTCAGGAATATAATTTGATCATTTCTTTTTTAAAAAAAATCAATAGAAATTAGGTAGATCCATTTATTTTTTAAATACAAGAATAGTTTTGGAAGGGCTGTTTGACAAATTCAGCATTAACTGCCAACTCTATAGACATGTTTAACAAAACAAAACAAAAACCAAAAAAAAAAAAACAAGGCATTTACTCTTGGCCCTTTTAGTACAGGCGAAGTGTCCTATTGCATCACAAGCGCCAGTGATGCAGTAACAGGTCCAAGGGCATAATATCAAAGATGTTTTTTTCCAACTGTGATTTAGTTAAAAAATAACATAATACAAACATATATTAATGGCTATCAAGACCACCAGTGATCTGCAGAATACCTAGAGGCCTACCTACTTAGAAGGCTGAAACTAGTAAAGCAGTATTAAAATCAGTGTTTTTATTCTTAGATTCACAATGACAGAGTGAGATTTCTTTGATTCCAATTTTATAAGGTGTGGTGGGGAATTGAGAGGAGATATTGGGGAAGACTGGCAGTGTGCCCTGAGTTAGAGTTGGGAATGTGGCTCAAATTAATCAATATTCGGATTAGGATATTGTTTTAGAAAATTTTAAATGTGTCCTAAATTGTGGCATATTGAAAAGGATATTAAGGAACAATGATTCATTAGCCCTAAACACAATTTAATGAGTGCCATCAATGGGCTTAAGAAATAAGCAGGGATGGGGGATGGTGAGGCAAAATGAGGTGAAAGAGAAAATGGTAAGTGGAAAATATGCTTGAGCATTGGAGAATGTGAAAAGGCCACCAGAGAAACTCCTTTAGTTATCACTCAGATGTGCTCTTCCCATTGGCTACCTGCTCCTGATCACCCAAACACCAGTTTTAGAGCACAGGAGCAGTAACCCCCTTTATCTGCAATTTCACTTTCCGTAGTTTGTTAACCAAGGAAGCCTTGGTCCAAACATATTATGTGGAAAATTCCAGAAATAAACAATTTATGTTTTAAATCACAAGTCGGCCGGGCAAGGTGGCTCATGCCTATAATCCCAGCACTTTGGGAGGATGAGGCGGGTGGATCACCCGAGGTCAGAAGTTCGAGACCAGCCTGGCCAACCTGGTGAAACCCCGTCTCTACTAAAAATGCAAAAATTAGCTGGGCGTGGTGGGGCAGGGCACTTGTAATCCCAGCTACTTGGGAGGCTGAGGCAGGAGAATCACTTGAACCCAGGAGGCGGAGGTTGCAGTGAGCCAAGACTGCACCACTGCACTCCAGCCTGGGTGACAGAGTGAGACTCCATCTCAAAACAAAAAATAAATAAAATAAATCACAAGCTGTCCTGAGTGATGAAATCTGATGATCTCCTGCTCTGTCCTGTGCGGGATGTGAATCTTCCCTTTGTCCTGCTTATCCACACTGTGTACTACCTGCCCCTTAGCCGCTTAGTCCCGCCTTGGTTGTCAGATTGAAAAAACATAGTCTATAAAGGGTTCAGTACTATCTGAGGTTTCAGGCACCCACTAGGGTTCTTGGAATGTATCTCCTCCTGCAGATAAGGGAAGATGACTGTATAACAAGGGGTTCAGTACTATCTGAGGTTTCAGGTGTCCACTAGGGTTCTTGGAATGTATCTCCTGCAGATAAGGGGAGATGACTGTATAACAAGGAGTTCAGTACTATCTGATGTTTCAGGCATCCACTGGGAGTCTTGGAATGTATCTCTTGCAGATAAGGGGAGACTACTGTGTTACATTTCAGCTTCCATAAAACTTTACTAATTTGGATTAAGAACACAAGCCTGATTTAGTAAAAAGTATCCATAAATATTCAGAGGTATAGTTTTGTTTCATCAAGTAAAAAGAGCAACTAATTCCAACTGTTGAAGTAGTAACAAGTAAAGACTTCACCAGGCTTGCCTTGATGAAGAATTAAGACATATTTTTAGGTCAACAGCACAAGATTGCTGAATAACTTGTATGCTACAAACACGCTCCTTCCACTCATCGTAACAGCCCAGCAATCTTTACTATTCCAACTTGCTGAGAACCATGTCAGATGTTGCCTTCAAGAATGAAATGTTTCTCAAAACTGTTCTATCAAATTTAGTAGCTATTGGACATAAAACAGGTAATTATTTCAGACTTTAGCCAGTTTTCATGAAGTATTTATCTCCAGCTTCAGTTTATTCCAACATTAATTTATGAAAGGACAGTTATTAAAATCAGCCATTTCTCAGACTGTAACTTTGAAATCATAAGAAATGGACAATTAAGCTCACTAGTCAAAATCTTGATTCAAGTGATGATCCAATAGCTTATAAATGTCTTCAATAAACTGAGCTTTGAAGCAGAACAAAAAACAGAAAAATCTAAAACCTCTCTATCCCAAGCACCAATAATGGAGGCTAAGCAATTATACCTACAAATCCTTAATGACAGGTCTCTCCTAATGAAAAATCCTGAGATTTAAGCACTATGACTTACAGAAGGCAGGTTGGCTTAATGAGGAAATTTACTTTCAATAAAAAGACAATCAGCAATATTTTATTTTGGACACTTAGCATTTCACAGATCCTCAATATGTTTTGAGGTAGGTCAAATATTAATAGTGTATTTTACAAACAAAACTCAAGCAGATGCTTTGTTACTTGTCCCAGACCACAGAAGCAGTTCTATCATGGTCAGGAATAATACGGTCTCTCTGATCTTTCAGATTAATCTTTCATGTGTGAATTTAATGGTAATTGCTTGCAAATATTCATGAAAGAAACAAAAGGCTAGATATAGAAATTCTACTTTGGGATATTTTAAACTCCTTAAATTTATCCTATAATGAGTATATACTTGCTCTCATTACAAATATATATATATATATAACTGATCTTTACAATTACAAATGAGCACAGGACTGACTATGTTGCTTTTCTGCCTTTTGGGGTGAGTAGAGCAGGAAGATAATCAGCAAGCTTTCCTCAGAGCACTAGGCAGCCTTTAACTGAAGGTGCTATGTTCGAGGCACCATTGACTATGATTTGGGATCACAGGGGAGCAGATGTACTAGTGGAACCAGGATTCAGAAAAGATGTCTGGATCCAAAAAGGGGAGGCTCTCTGCAAGTCATAGATGAAGAGAAAAACCATAACATCTCAAGCTACTGATCCTGAGTGTCACTCTATGGCATTACAACTACTTGTGAGAGGAGCTCCTACAAGAGCAGTAAGCTTGTCCCAGTAAAGCCTATTAAAGTTCTTACTAACTAGATAAGCCACAAGTAAAACTAAATTGGTATTTTATTAAAGTGACATCTATAGAAGCAAATATCTAAACATTTTTAATATGAGTTTTACCTGTCATGTAAATTCCTCATTGTCACAAGCCTAATTCAATTAGCTCGTCATAATTCCTAAAGTAATTTACTAAAATTCAGCTCATCTTGACATAGGTTCTTGAGCCAGTATTCCAAACTGTTTCATTATAAAGTTCCTTTTATTTAAACAATTGTAGAATATTAGTAATAATAAAGCCCAGCTCTCCCAGTGCCTGCCGGGCCGCCTCCGCCCATGAAAATGCGATCATTTCTTAAAATGTTAAGCTCACCACAGATTCAGCAATTCTATTCCTAGGAATTTAGTCAAGAGAAATCAAAATACATGTCTACATAAGGCTAGTATGAGAGTGTTCAGAGCAGTATTATGCATAAAAGCAAAAAACTGGAAACAACACAAATGTCCATCAAGTGGTGAATGGGAAACAACATATGGTATATCCCTATGATGGAATATTATTCATCAATGAACAGGAGTGACGTAGTGATACATGCTATAATATAGATGGGCCGGATGCAGTGGTTCACGCCTGTAATCCCAGCACTTTGGGAGGCTGAGGAGGGCTGATTACTTGAAGTCAGGAGTTCGAGACCAGCCTCATCAACATGGTGAAACCCTGTCTCTACTAAAAATACAAAAATTAGCCAGGCATAGGGGTGCATGCCTGTAATCCCAGCTACTCGGGAGGCTGAGACAGGAGAATCGCTTGAAGCTGGAGGCAGAGGTTGCAGTGAGCCAAGATCGTGCCACTGCACTCCAGCCTGGCGACAGAGTGAGACTCTATCTCAAAAGAAAGAATAATAATAAAAACATAGATGAACCTACAAAACATTATTCTGAGAGAAAGACACCAAACAGAAAAAACTACATAGTGTATGGTTCTATAAAATGACTTGACTACAAGACGGAAAGTAGATTAATGATGACCTGGGCCTATGGAATGGTAATGGGAATGACTACAAATGATGCAAGACATCATTCTGGGGTGATGGGAGTTCAAACACTGGATTGTGACAGTGGTCTAACAACTCTTGAAATTTACTAACAACCATTAAATTATATACTTCAAATGGATTAACTTTATGGTATGTAAATTATACTTCAATGAAACCATTTTTTAAAAAGCAATTCGAATTATTTAAAATTAAAACATCACAGAAATGTGTAACACAGAAAATGACAGTGTGTACGCCTCTCAATACCATTCCAATCGTTGTTAACAATTTGATCATCACTGCTAACAGTTTGGTATATGTTCCTTCAGACACTTTTCCACGCATGCTATATATAGTAATATATATTAGTATTAGTTTATATGTTACTGTATATATATATTACTATTCCATGCATATGTACACACACACAATGCCACCACACTATACATAAAACATTGTAACTAACTTGCTAGCTTGGCAAATTATCTTGAACAGGAAGGATGGGTTTTTAACCAGAGAAATAATACGATCATCATTGTGCTATAGAGATTAATCGAGGATGGGAAACCTGAAGGTGGGGACCCATTAGGAGACTACTGCAACAGTAGCAAGCAGGGACTGGGGAGGCCTGTGCCTGCGTGGGAACAGGCTGACCTCGAAGTCAGCTCTGGGTGCAGGGGCGGCTGCAGGTCCTACTCACACTCTGAGAGAGATCCTGGGTGTTCCCCACATTGCTGAAGTGGTCCACCTCAAGAGCCACAACTGTCCCAGTCTTCATGAAGCCAACCTGATAAAAGGAGAAAGGAGAGGGATTTATCATAAGTCCCGTTTCCCCCACCTCTCTGTCTCCCTCTGATCCTCCCTCCCACTTATGTCACCTGGAGGAAATAAACAGAACACCACATCATCCCGTGAAAAAAAGGTGACCTTCAGAAGTCACCAGAAGGTAACAAGTGAAGAAGAGAGGAACTGACCTCTCCCCAGTGGCACACACTTGGCTCCCCACCCCTGGAAGCCCTTGTCCCCACACCTCTTCCTCCTGCTACCGGCACCTGGCTTCTGGTCTCGGAGGGGAGTAAGGAGGTTGGAAAGAGAAGGCTGGTCACGATAGGGCGGGGGGGAAGCGCAGGGAAGAGAAACTAGGAAAGATACCGGACTGTCTCCTCACAGATTTTGGTCAGAAGACACAAAAAGTTTCATTTCACAGGAGCACGCAAATCCTTGACCTTATGTACACTGTTAAAATACCCTTTACAGGCTGTTTTACACACACGGAAACTGGGACCCCAGAAGATCAAGGAATCCTCTTCAGGCCCACAAGAATTTGGGGCTAAGAGAAATATAATCCCTTGCTGGGAGTTAAATCATGAAACAAACTCAGAATAGGTCAAAGGCCATGTTCAAGGCCAATTCATGGAGAGAGGGCTCTCAGGTTTCTAGAGCTAGGCGGAGCCCCATAAGGCTTTGCTGATGTGTACAGGGAAAGGGTGCATTGGTCATCCACAGAAACCCAGAAGAGGGACTGTCCCAGAGAGAAGTGTGGACCGTGTCCAACCATGGTCTGGAAAAGTACATACCCATCCTAACATCTTGGGCCTGTCCAGGCCCCTGGGAAGTTTTATTTCTCACAGTAAATTACTAAGCTGTCATTCCAATTTTTACATCAGGCCTGTGATCATGTTAATGTTGGGCTACCAAGCGCGATGGTTTACCCTGAGTATGCTGGTGAATCATGTTTCTGAGCCTGACCAGACTCAGAACACAGCAAATCCACAGAAGTCACGAATGCCACCCTTGGGAGATGGGGTGCCAGCCTCCCTCAGCACTACCTTTCTGTGTTGCTGTTAGCCTATTTGAATTTCTCTTCTTGCTATATCTTATTTGAACTTCTACAGATAGGCAAAAAGTAGGAGTGCAGCTCAGGATGCCTGGACATTCGGTCCCAGCTTTCCTCACAAAATGGCTCATCCCGCCCCAGCACAGCCCCAACATCTAGAACCTTGTATCTGGCCAGGAAGGGATGTCTGCCACCAGTTATCAGCATGTCCTCATCACGGTCCAGCATGCATCGCACAGGGCGGCCGGTCCTGGGGGTTACCGACAGTGTTAGAAGCCTGTGAGCCTTCAACAGCAGCTCAGCCCTGCAAGTCTCAGAATAAAAACAGCCGGGAAGCCATCTTTTCCACCTGCACGCTGAGCAGACCTGTACAGGGCTGCTTTGCCATCTAGGCACTGTGATAGACAAGGTGGAGAATATAAGGAAGCGAGGTATGTGCTTTCATTTAGAGAGCTCACAGCCAGTAGGAGAGATCAGAGGTGGATACCTGTGCCAGACCACAACGGAACAGGCGATGTTACCCTCCCACTATGCCCAAGGGTTCTAAAAACAGAGGGCTGTGAGAATTCAAAGCAGGGGGAAACTAATTCTAACAGGGGGAAGTCCTGAAAACCTTCCTGGCACAGACAGCCTTATTCTTCTTCCCAGAGCCAGATGGGAGAAACAGGCTTTGGAACTCACTTATATGCAGCCAGGGCCACTGCCGTGGACACCACAGTGCTCCGGGTCTCCTTGCCTCCAAAGCCTCCTCCCATTCTCTTCACTCGAACCACAATCCGGTTTGCTGGAACCCCCAACATTTTTGCAACAAAGCTCTGTGAGTGAAAGACAGAACATTCGCACTGAATGCATTACCTGAACTTATTTCAGGCCTAAGGCAGAGCCTGTCCAACATGCATGGACCTAATTACTGCTGCGAATTCTGAAATTCCTTGATTGAAAATCCCATGCAGCTTTGTGGTTAGTGATGCTGGGGCCTGCCAGACTGAATTCAGCATTGGTTTTTAACCAGAGGGCAAGCAGTTGGTCACAGAATACTTTTAGAAACTTATTCTGTCTGACCAGGTGACCAGCGACTGGTAGATCATGAGAGTAGGACCAGCTGCCGAAAACACTGGCAACCGCTGTCACATTACAGGCAGTAGAGAAACAAAGAATATTTGAGCTGCTGTAGATAATTTAGTGGTCCCTGTGGCTATGACTTAATCCAACACCTTCATTTTACATATGAGGAAACTGAGGCAGGATATGACTTGACCGAGGCCATAGGCACTGAAATGATAACTGCCAACATGTACCAAACTCTAGTCTAAATATTAAAACTCATCTAATAATTATGACAACCCACCCAGGCCCCATTTTATAAATGAGAAAACTGAGGCTGAGAAAGGTTATGGAACAAGGTCAGTGATACCAGCTTGTTGGTGAAAGAGTCTGGCTCCAGGACTATGACACTCGAGTACCCTCTGGACCAGCCCACATCTCCCTCTTCCTATTTCCCACATGGCCCTCCTGGTCTGCTAGGAGCTCCCCGCTACCCTGACAGCCCCTTGAGCTGACCCAAAAGGCATCTACCTGGGTCTTCATGGTGTTCTGTGTAGACACAAAGAGCTCCATCTCCCCTGCCTCGCCTTTTGGAACAGCAATGGTGCAGTGAGTCTCCAGGTAGAAGTGCTCTTGGCCACCGATGTATATCTCCCCTGGGGAAGCAGTGAGATCCCTCACAGTGAGCCCAATGCTGCAGAAGGGGCCAGCTTGCCTAAGGAGAGAGTATACTCTGCCAAGTGGTCTGGGCAGGAAGCAATGGCTACCTGAGGGGTAACCTCAAGGTTTCCCACTTGGGGTGGAAAAGGATCCCAAAGTCTTAGCTATCTGGGAGCTGAGTGCTCCAGCCTCATCCCCACCCCCACAACAAAGAAAGAACGACACTGAAATGCATCCAGTCCAAAGTTCTCTTCTCACTGCAGCTTATGGAAATCAAGGATTTCAAAAACCATCATTGTAAAATTTTGGAAAAAGTAAAGCAGGGATTAATAGATGTGATTGAAACACTGAAAACCAGCGCATGTTCCCGAACCTAAGCTACCAGGCCTGGTGGAGAGTCGGCTTCATACCAGGCTTGTTGGAGAGTTGGCTTCATAGTGACTTTGCAAAGCACAACAGCCAATGTAAAAAACAGTTCCAAAAGAGGTAGTCAGCTGTGTTGTCCTGGGGTGGGAGCAATGGATTTGATTTCACAGTGTCAGAGACAGAGGTGGAGGGAGAGCAGGGCAAAGGGAAGAGGAGGGAGGATGCTAGTTGAAGATGGGTAAGGACTGCCTTCAGGTAGGGGGAGGATGAGAATTTATGCGGTTAGAGGCCTGGCAGACCTAAGGCTGTCAGGCATATGTGGCTGTTATCATCCCTAGTTGGTCTTCCGGATCAGAATACTCTAGAATCTCTCTAGAATCATTAGGTCCAGCCTAGAGACAGGAGAGTAGAGATTAAGATAACTGAAGCTCTTTCCCATCCAACTGTCTCCTATTTTGCTACAAACGTAAGAGGGAATCTTCTGTCAGGAAATGTCCAGAAATCACTTCCCTGCTTCAGGGTTCAATGCATATCTCTTGAATTTAATTTGCAAACCAGGGCCACCCCATTCCCACTGCGGCATGGAACAGCTCTACCTGACACAACATTATCTGCTTCGGAAAACCCCTTCTTTAGGTCCCCTTTCTCGATCTTCAGCTCAGGTCCATAAAAGGAGTTGTTCTTTATAGCATCCTGAGGATCACAAAGAAGTTTCAGAAATGTGGCTTTTAGCAGGGAGGGAAAGATAGGTTCTGATTAGGGAAAGAGAAGCTCTCTGAATTGTTGACTCTCTCTTTCCATAAATGAATCTCTATATGCTTCACATACAGACTTGAAGTAAGCTCTACTATAGCCCAGAGAATCATATTCCTCCATTTCCTCAGCTGTAGGTGGACAACCCTGGACCTTGAGGAAAAGCAAAGAATACCACAAGGACCAGATGGAGGTAAAATTTTGAGAAGGAGGAACTCAGTTTGGCTGTTGTTAGTGGACTGGGCATAAGATCATAAAGGGGAAGGTTTCATGGGACCCCAAATCCCAGGGTTGAAAGGGATTTAAAAACCCATCTAGTCAAATCCCTACCTGCTGCTCAAATCCCCTCCAGGGGATCCTAATACATGCACATCCAGGGACGGGGAGCTCACTCCTCTACACAGGCAGCCCATTCTCAGTTACCTCAATTGTGATAATGGCTGGTAGTTCTTCATAGGTGATTTTCACCCCTTGGGCAGCTCTCTGTGTGTGTTCCGGGGTGTCAGCAACCACAGCACCAATGATATGCCCAACACAAGTAACCTAGTAGCAGAGACAGACTGTTAAAGAACGCAACCAGGCTCATGGTGAAACAAATTATTTTTGGATTGTTCAAAAAGCCAAAAGAAGTCCCTGCCCTCACAATCAAAGCACACTTTAGGAATGCCCTAGGGCCTCTTAATTTCCTTATCCTACTGATTGAGGATCACTAGGATCAAGATGGCAAACACATTTCATCTCAAGGGCCAATTCTGAGTATTTAGTACTGGCAGACTATTGAGAAGCTGAACCAGATAGAATGTGGCAATTGATTCCTTGTTTGCCATGAGCAGAAAGGGGGATATGGCACCAGGAAGTGCATTTGTCAATTCGGATTCACTCCAACACCATTGGTCTTCCTATGGAGACTCAGAAGGCAAGGCCACATTTGGCTAGTTACTATTGACAGATCATGACTAACCTTAGGCCCTGACCCCCAGTTTTATTTTCTTTTCACCTCACCACTCTCTTTTATGTTCTATTTCCCAGATTTATACCAAAAGCTTCTCAAAGGCTGTAAAGGCTGTAAGCATCAATATAAGGCCTGTAAGACACGTACTTACAAGACATGATACTTTAAGTATCATGTCTTATACTTCAACTAATACCCAAAAGCAGTAGCTCTCAAATACTGGTTCTTAGACTTGATGACCCATAAAAATATTTTTAAAAATTTATATGATAATGATTGTTGTTTTATTTTGTTTAATAATTCAGTTTCATAAAAGCTTAATGGATCTCCTTCAGAGATAATTGTCATCCAACATCCCCGAAAAAGTAAACAACAAAAAATTTTTGTACAACACATCACTTTAGAAGATGAAGTTTCTGACAATAGGAACCAACAATTAGTATGCATGTCTCTGATAATTATCTCTTATGGCCCAAATAAGCTATTGACTCAGTTGGTTAGTGCAATGGTGGTTAAATCTGGCTGTTGGTTATTGCAATGGTGGTTAAATCTGGCTGACTTTCACTAGCCATAATGCTAGCACTGCTCTGAGAAGCTCTTAAAGTATGTAAAGCAATTTGTTCTTCTATGAAATGCTCTCCTCATGGAGTCTTTGTTCTCATATTTTTAGTTTTTTGTTATCTCCTTCACTTTTACATCAATAATAAGATGAATTCACTCTTCAGAAGTACCCACTCATGTCTAATTTGCAACATTGGATGTCTATTGGAATTACAAAATGACTGTCGAGAACTATCCTATGAGTAAAATATAAGGACTTTTGTAGCAGCTGTCTTAAACATTTGAAAAATTTTGTTTGTTGTTGAAGAATTCCACATAGTTGAAATCAATAGATAAACTTTCATGTAAGTGAATTACCAATTCACGTAGTGGTGGTATTGTGATTTCTAGTTAGTGTACTAAATGTATTCTTATTTTATTTTAATTAAAGAGCTTACTGTTGTCCCTTAAGAACCGAATTGTTAGTTCAAATGCAATCACCAGTGTTGTTTTACTGCCACTTTGGCATAGAGACATCCTGCCATGTACAAACAGCAGCCATCAATTAAATAAACAAGTAACATATTCTATCTTTTTGGATTGTCCTGAATATGGGCCAACTGGATGATGGCCATAATCCATGCAAATGTATAACCTTTCCAGATCAGGAGTTTGGAGCAATGTACACAAATTAAAACTTCAATACTTATTCAATTTACTTCATATAAAAAAATCCAAGACTTACCTTATCCTTCGCAAAGACTGTCTCATCATTACAAATTCCAGTTATGTTACTCCCAGGAACATCATCAGCGGAAATGAAACAAACAAACCCTGGAACCTTCTTAGCTTCTGATGTATCTATGGACCTGCAAGAATGAGTGGTGTGAGGGGCCAGGTCAGCAAGCTGGAGCAGGGGACCCATCACCTGGTTGGACAACCCTGTTCTTATTTTGATTGGCTTGGCTCCATCCTAATTCCTCGATTCTCTGCTTCTTTTCTATTAGATTCTAATTCAATTATATCCTATTCTGCAAATGTTGATTAAATCCTCACCATGTTCAGGCCACTATGCTGAATGTTGCTGGGGATATAAAGTGAATAAGCCAGCCAGGCACAGTGGCTCATGCCTATAATCCCAGCACCTTGGCAGGTCAAGGTGGGAGGATCACTTGAGCCCAGGAGTTTAAGACCAGCCTGGGCAACATAGCAAGATCCTGTCTCCATTTAAAAATAAATAAAGTGAAGAAGGCAGGCCAGGCCTCTTTGGATGTTACGTGATGCTCTGTCTGGTCTCCAAGTACAAGCAAGCCATATCAGAACGAACAGCACTTACTCTGGAGCGCTCTGGCTCATGCACACATCACACCTAACTCCCTCCCAAAATCAGCACATGGAGCCCGGCTGTGCCACTGATCCAATGGCCCTGAACAGCTTCATAAAGCTGGATTTGTCTCCCCACATTCATTGTGCTATCCCAGCATGACAGGGCATCCTACCATAATTAGGCAACACGAACCGCAAAGGGAGAATGCCCGACTATATGATCAAGGATAACAGTCTCAACTATGTACTCATCACACTGGCACATGCCCCCATGGGGAAATAGGGCAACACATTTCAGGGAAAGGTATGTAAACTGCCCTGAAGTTCTAACCATCTTCCAAATGCTTAATCCTCACAAGAAACCCTGAAAGTACTTATCCTAATTCCCATTTTATGTTTGGGGAAACTCAGACTCAAGGAAGTTAGGTAGTTTTTCCAAAGTCACTAAGCCAGAAAGCAGTGTGACTGGGATTATTGGAACTGAGGTTAAGTTAGGAGGGTTAAGCTCTGTCCTGCCAAACCCACTTCCAAGTGTGTGCAGCCCAGGAAGGCCCCAACTGTTGCAGTTACAACAATGTCAACCCCCTCATCCTCTTCCATCCATTCACACATTGCTTGGATGGAGGTGGTTTGAGCGTAGACAATGTGGGTTATGGTATTGTCAATATGGGCTCAAGACAAGGAACAAAAGGGAAAGAATGTATCCTATAGCTGCCAACCATGGGAACTTAAACACTTTTTTTTTTGTTTTCAGGGACCTGGACAAGTTTATTTATCTGTTAGATTTCAGCTGTGCCTGGTTCACCATTCCTGGAGGGATCCCGTCTCCAAACTAGGAGCAGCAGCAGAGAAAAGACCAATGACAAGGAAACCTGATTCCTAGTCCACACAGTGGGCCCAAGGAAGGGCTTTTCCTAGCTGATCTGCTCAGCAGGGTATGTGTCTAACGCCCACCAGGAAGTGAAGTTCACACTCTCTGGCTTGAACATCCTGAGGCAGCACAACACAGTTGCTCACGTTGCTTGGCTTCAAATTCCAACTCTGCCACTTACCAACTGTGTGGCCTGGGGCAAGTAACATACCCTGCTTGTGCCTTAGTTTCCTCATCTGGAACAGAGAGATAATAATAGGACCTGCCTATAAGGTCTTCCCCTCTCTCTAGCCTGGGAGGTCCTGGAGGCACCTCATTATCTTTGCATCTCCATGGCCTAGCAGGGTGAGAGAAGTCTCCTGGGTACTCCCAGTGGCCCCCTCACAGCATTCCACCAGCTCCTCCTGGCGGTGTCACTCACTTGATCTTGGCGTGGGCCCGGGTGCTGGTGACCAGCCGGAGAGACAGCTCATTCTCGTAGCGAGGAATGTCGTCACAGTACACGGCCTCACCAGAGGCCTGCATGTCCGCTGCCAGGTGGGGCAGGGGCCGGCCCACCATGTCCTCCTCAGACTGACCCTTGGGCACCTCCTGGAATGACAGGGTCATCAATCAGGGTGAGCTGCCAAGGACACTGCCCCTCTATGGGCCCAGGGGACACTGGTGAGCTTCATGCTACATGGCAAAGGACACCAAGGGGTAAGAATAAAGAATTCAGAGGGGCGTGGGGCAAAGGGAACAGGAAGGTGCATAAGTGATAGCAAGGGTGGTCCTAGTGTTGTTATATAAAAGAACAACAAGAAAAAGAAGAACCTACATTTCCACTAATTGGGGATTGGGTAAATAAATTATGCAGCCCCATATAACACAATAGTATGCAACCATTAAAACATACTTTTGAAGAACTTTAATTAGAAGGATTGTTCATGCAAGCATAAAAACGTGACGCAAAACATTTGTGTTTGTGTTTGACAATAATTCAATTATGTAGGAAAAGATAATATATGCTATAAATATAGTATATACATGTCCATATACACATAGGAAATAATGAAAAGAATTAAACAAAAATATAATAATAATTTGCTCTCGGAGGTGGAATTTTTGGTGATTTTTATTTTCTTCTTTATGCTTTTCTGTATTTTCTAAAATGTTTTAAATTATTGATCTCATAATAAAGTTCTGTTTTTGTTTTACAAAGTAATCATAACAATGGCTAATGTTTATTGAGTGTTTCACCATATCCCAGGGACCATCTAAGCAATTTACTTTTATTAACACATTTAATCCTCAAAACCATCTTATGAAACAGGTATGTGATTATCCACATTTGCAGGTGGGTATAATTAACTTGCTTAAGAGGCACACAAGGGAATAAGTAAGTTGTTCAAGGTTGCACAATTAGGAAATGGCAGAGTGTGGACACAAATTCAGGCAGTCAGGTTCCAGAGTTCATGCCTGGGACGACTACACTCTAGTGTGCAGGGGGCAGTAAATTGTGGCATGGGGGCCAACACAAGCCCACTGCCTGTTTTTGTAAATAAAGTTTTATTGGAAGGCAACACACTCATTCATTCCTGTTTTTCCTGTGGCTGCTTTTGTGCTACAATGACAGAGTTGAGAAGTTGCAATAGAAACCATCTGGCCCACAAAATCTAAAATGTTTTCAGGAAAAGTTTGCTGACCCTTTACGTAGCACCTCTCAAAAAGCTGGAGCAGATAGATGGTTTGTTTGTTTGTTTGTTTGTTTGTTTGTTTGTTTTAGCATACTCAAGAAGACGTCTGGCTTTGTACATTATCCATCACGTAAAAAAAAAAAATCTGTAAGGAAGAGGGGCAGCTAAGAGTTTAATCCCAAAGAGAGAAATTTAGGCAAACAAGGGAGAAATAGTGACATTAACATCTATACGATTCCCATTTTCTTCACTGGGTATTTACGCACAAGAGTAAGGAGTTTTATGGACCTATATACAATTCAAGTTAGTCATTAGCCGATGGTCAGCCACTAGCCAACTCATGTGGCCTGCAAAGTCCCCTGATATTAGCCATACACTGACCGTACTCACTTGGAAGAGCTGGACATCGGCTGGGGGGTCTTTCTGAAACAGTAAAGTTGCACTGGCGAAAGTGGGGTCCAGTTTACCACACTTCTGTGGAGACAAGAAAACAGAGGTGACCAGGATTATATTTCAATCACTGATTCCTTCCTTGCTTGTCCATAAAAATGACCAAACTGATAACTGATCCCCTTGTCTCTTCACTTCATACGCCTTTGAGTGCTGGCTGGATCTCTCAGCATCCAAACACGGGCTCTGAGAGCTCAGAATTTAAGAGCAGCCTCAGCTTCACTGCTAGCCCCCCAGTGGACCCTGTAGACTGAATGGTCTGTACTTTCTCCAACACCCCAAACTCTTTCCCTCCTTCTTGCATTTATGCCTGCTGCTGTCTCTGTTGGGAGTATCCTTCTCCTCCTTCCTTGCCCTCCTCAATTCTGTGGGAAGCATTTAATGATATGGAAAATGTTCACAATATAATCCCAATGGAAGCAAAGGGGGATTTAAAGCGCTATATGCAGTGTGGTCCCAAGTCTATTTAGAAAATAATATATCCACATCAAAAGATAGGAAGATGACAGATATTGATAGATGGATGGAAGGACAGATAGAAACAGAGAGAGAGAGAGATGGGGCAGACAAACAGTATGACAGATAGATGGACAGATAAATGCAGGAAAAAAAATCAGAGGAAATAACCAAAATACTTGGCAGTGGTTTTCTCTGGGATTTGAGAGTAAGAGTAATTTTAGGTTTTCTTTATCCAATCCTGTATTTTTAAAGTTCTTTTCTTAAAGAAGGATTTATCTCTGCTGTCCCTGCATCAGTGACATCCTCTCCACTTTGGGCTCCCTCCACACTCCATCTCTGCAGTTGTCTCCCAAGTGTGGCCTTTATTGTCCATGTTCTCCCCGACACTGAGCTGCCCCCTAGCACCTCATGCAACCTGGCATAGGATAGGTGCAAAATAAATTCTTGGTGAACAAATCTCAGGAGCTGGGCCCACCTCAGCCTGCACTCTCTCTTGAAGACATATCCTATGGATTCCACGGCCTCCTGGCTATTGCAGCCCCACCTGACATTCCCATTCCACCCTACATACTCATCACACTCTGCATTCCCTTTCTTTTTTTCCTTTCTTTCTTTCTTTCTTTCTTTCTTTCTTTTTTTTTTTTTTTTTTTGAGACAGAGTTTCGCTCTTGTAGCCCAGGCTAGAGTGCAATGGCATGATCTTGGCTCACTGCAACCTCCACCTCCCGAGTTCAAGTGATTCTCCTGCCTCAGCTTCCCACGTAGCTGAGATTACAGGGCAAGAACCTCTGTCGCCAAAGCCCAGCCCAGCACTCTGCCTCTAAGCCAGCTGGTCACTCCCATTTCCAAGATTCTTGTGCTGTGACCCTGGTCCCTGCTATTCTGCCCTCAGATGTCCAGAGGAGAGGAGCAAATTTACTACCCAGACCAACTTCTTATATCCCCAAACATGCTACAGAGAGCCTGTGCCTGGCCAGGCCCCACTCACGTCTTCCAGGTTCTCTTGGCCCAGCTTCTGAAGGACTGTCAGGTAGAACTTGAAGAAGAAGCTGAGGGTGAGGGTGCACCGGAAGTCCACCATGCCACCAGGGGCATCGGGAGGCAGATGCAGCTCCTCTGCCAGTCCTGCACACACGTCCTGCAGCAGCTCCTCCTTCCAGAGCCTGCCAGAGAGCAGGGCGTGGGACAGCGCTCCCGCCCAGCCCTCCAGACCCCTTTGTGTAGAGCTGTGTGCCCAGGGCCTCGGAGCTGTACAAAGCTTGGTTCAAAATTTGGCTTGGATACTTAGAGTTGGGTGACTTTAGGCAACTTTAATTAATCTCATTGAGCCTGTTTCCTCATCTTCAAAAATAGATACAATTTTAAAAGACCACCAAAATAATAACAGTTAAAATCTATCAAGTCCTCACAATGTGCCAGGCAACATCTTAAGTGTTTTATATGAATTCTCACTTTTAATTTAAATTTGAAAATGTAGTAAGCAAAATTCCTACACCCATTTACCAATGAGAAAACTGAGGCACACGGAGATTAAGTAACTTGACTTATGTTATCTATTTGGTAAATGACAAAGCCAGGAATTTCGGAACCAAGGAACCAAACTCCAAGTTAAGCTTTATTGATCCTATGTGGGTGCTGTAAGGATTTCCTAGGATAATGTTAGTGAAGTGTTCGGTACAATTTCTGTTATATAATAACCATAGAAATAGTAATAGTAGTAGCAGTAGTACTAATCACAGCCATAGTGGTAGCAATAGTAGCAATAACAGAGCAGTAGTAGTAGCATCAGCATCAATACTACTAGTAATAATACTAGCAACAGCAATAATAGTTGCAGTAGTGGTAACAAGATAGATAGTAGTAGTAGAAGTAGTAATAGTCATAGAAGCAGTTGTCATAGAATCAACAGCAACAGTAGTAATAATAGTAGTAACAGAAGCAATGCCAAAAAGTAGCAGTCATAGCACCAGCAGCATCAATAACAGCAGTAATACTACTGTTAGTAGTAATAGTAGCAGCAGCAATACTAGTAGCAATAGTAATAGTAGTAGTAGTAGCAGTAACAGTAGTAGTAGTAGTAATTTCAGTAGCAATAATATTAGAAGCAGTAATGTTATTAGTAAAATACTAGTATAACAGCAGTAATAGTAGTAGTAGTACTAATAGAGTAAGCGGTAGAAGAGGCAGCAGTAGTATTAGCAATAGTAATAGTAATAACAGCAATAATACTAATCATAATAGTGACAGTAGGAATTGCAGCAGTGATCATAGCTGCAGTGATAGTAGTAGCAACAGTAGTCATAGTAATAGCAATAATGAGTAACAGTAGTAATTTTAGTAGAAGCAGCTGGAGTAGTAGCAATCATAATATTAATTATAGTTGCAATAATAGTAACAATAGTAGTAGCAGCAATGGTAATAGCATAGCAGTGGCAATACTCCTAGTAGTAATACTAGTAGTAGTATCGGTAATAGTAGTAGTAGCAACTGTGGTTATAGTAGAAGTAGAAGTGGTAGCAGTAGTAGCAGCAGTAGCAGTAGTTATGGTAGTAGTAGCAGCAATAGTAATACTACTGGTAGTCATAGTAGCAGCAGCAGTAACAATGATACTATTAGTAGCAGCAACATTAGCAGCAGTTTCATTGTGCTGTTAGCTCTTACTTGGAAAGCTGCCTCTGAGTGGTCTTGAGGGCTGAGATGGTTCTGTTGGCCATTCCACCATAGCAAAGGGCCAGCTCCTGTACCTCTGTGGTTCCTGGCTTGAATAAAACTCTCATGCCACTGGTTACCTTGGCAATGTCATCTTCTCTCCGGGAGGCCTGCTTGAATGCTGAGAAATACTCCCCCTAAAAGAGATCAGGAAGGTGCCTGTTTTCCACCTTGCTCTGTAGGGGCTGCAAATGGCAGACCCAAACCACAGGGCTATGAGGTGAGGTGAGGGGATAACACCATCACACATCAGTGGGTGAACTGGCCCCGGGAATCAAAGATCAAATGTAACTGATTACCACCTGTTTAGGAGAGGTTCCAGATAACATTCCCAGAAGCTGAAAAAAAAAACAGGATTTCTCCCTGCTAGTCAGAAAAGCTGAGGGTCAGGGACAAAGTAGAACTGGGTGGTCTCCATTGAACAACAGCTGCAGGGGAAGAAGGGTGCTTTCACAAAGGCTCCTTAGAGACCCCTCATCCCCCTTACCTTCCCTACCCTGGTGCCCACTATCAGTGCCCACCCAGCCTCTCTGGGGACTGAGGCTGTTTGGCCTTTGGCATCCTCTGTTTGTGGCCTCCACAGTGCCCTCTCTAACCTGCCTCTCCCACCAGTCTGTTGGCATCGTTCAGAAATCTTGGTGAAAGAACCCGGGCACAGTGGCTCACGTCTGTAATCCCAGAGGCCTAGGTGGGAGGAGTACTTAAAACCAAATGTTCAAGACCAGCCTAGGCAACATAGTGAGGCCCTATCTCTACAAAAAAAAAAAAAAATTAGCCAGGTGTGGTGGTGCACACCTGTGGTCTCGGCTACTTGGGAGGGTGAAGTGAGAGGATCACTTGAGCCTGGGACATTGAGGCCACACTGAGCCGTGATCATGCCACCACACTCCAGCCTGGGCCAGCAGGCAGAGTGAGAATCTGTCTCAAAAAAAAAGAGAAGAAAGAGAAAGAAAGGAAGAAAGAAAGAAAGAAAGAAAGAAAGAAAGAAAGAAAGAAAGAAAGAAAGAAAGGAAGGAAGGAAGGAAGGAAGGAAGGAAGGAAGGAAGGAAGGAAGGAAGGAAGGAAGGAAGGAAGGAAGCAAGCAAGCAAGCAAAGCAAGAAAGCAAGCAAGAAAGAAAATATCACTATCACACTATGAAACAATCACTGCCCTTGTGCTTTAAACACATTTTCCTTCCTGGGTTCGAGCCAGGATCTTTCTTTAAGGATAGGAGGAGAGCATGAGCTATTTTCCAGGAAAGAGCCACCTGACTTCAGGCCCTTTCTGTGTCAGGTTCCTTTTGAGGTCTGTACTCACTCTGGCACCACAAATTCTGATGAACACCAAAATTAGCAGGTTTAGGGAGAGGAGATCTATTGGAAAAAGCACAATGAGGCCCACAGTTGAGGCCCCCAAATGGCCACCCACTTTTCCCTGAAGAAGCCATGGAGCCCGCTCCTGATGATAAAGCTAGCTCAGCTTGCATGTCATGTGTGGCTCTGGGGCACTGAGCCCAGAGTTTGACCTTTGTTCTGGAACAGAGGTCCCAGGTGCTCACTCCCAGGACTGTGCCCATCCACGGGGACATTCTCGCTGGGGTACAGTGAACTGTCAGTGTCAGGCTGACAATACCCTTTCTTGAGAGTTTCTAATTCTGGGTATTAAAATCTCCTTTCTTTCATGGAAGGATGTGTTTTGTTAATGACCATACCTGGCAAATAAAAACTGAATAGAGCTACACCTGTTTCCTCCCCACTTTCATCACTCATAATTAAAAAAAAAAAGTTTACTGAACTGTGAAATTCAAAACTCTGGGAATCACTGCTCAAAATGGTCTATACAGACAAGCTAGAAAACCATTAAGAAACCACCTCAGGGATATAAATGCTCTAATTTAATTAGCATTCTCATTAAGGAGGTCAAAATTACCAAGGGCAAAACATGCCTTAGAACACTCACTAAAGCTCCAGCTGTGGGAAACCTTCACACTCTCTCTGACAGTGGCTCCCCAAGCCTCTCCCAGATGCCTTTTCTGACAGGCCCTTTTGGATGTGTTCTGAGCTGGTAGCTGCTAAGGGAGGAAAGACCCACACCAGGTCAAGACATCACAGGGCCCAGGGAACAAAGAGGAAGGCAGCCAGTGGTGCCCAGACCTGCCCCAACAGGCCAGAAGAGCCACTCATGAAGCAGGAATCCATCCGCACCAATCCACAGCGAGGTCAGTGAAGCAACACCTCGTCAAGCCTAAGGTCAGCGTATGAGGGTCTGAGCCACAGGCAGCTTCTTCATGCAGCACATGAACCCCACATTCTTTACCACGGGAAAGCAAATTTCCTCTGACATGGGCAGGAATCCTCGACAGCTAGATGTGTTCTTGGAATTCTGTTCTTAGCTGCTGGTCATCTCCACTGGCTTCTAGGCATCACCAGGAACCTTATGAATTGTTTATTTTCAGTCCTCACAATAACCCGTATAGTAAGTGACATGGTGCCCATTTTACAGATAAGGGAATTGGGGCTCAGAAAGGTGAAATGGCTCACTCAGGACCAAGTTTCTAGCTATCTGGTTCCACAGTCCATGCCATGTGGACTCCTATCCTGCAACTTCTCATTGTCCAGAAAGGAGTATGGTTGGTTCAACAGAGGCAAAGTTCAGAGAGAAAAATCATCAATGTAAAGGTTGAGAGATGCTCAGGTTGGTCCCTGAAGCAGATTCTGATCTCTTTGTCTAGAGCCTGGCAATAGGACTTATTTGAGCAGAGCCTGGAACCACTTCCAACATCTCACCTCCCTGCTGTAGGGGATCTCTATGGAGAGCAGTATCTCCTCCGGGCTCAGCAGGGTCTTTCTGTAGCCAGGGAAGAAGGTGTGGTCCATCTGGACAGTTCTCCTGGTGCCTGTACAGAAGCAAGATGAAGAGGAGCCAAAGTGAGGGAAAGGCTGGGAACCCCCCATGGGGAGAAAGGATAACCATCAGTGGGATTCTTCATGCTGGTCTCCAATGCCCACAGTCAGAGCAAATGACTGGCACAATTGGGGCCAAATCCTCTCTCTGAAATCCTTAAGCATCCTTAAGCAATGGTGTGCTGGTGAATCTTTAACAACCAGTTCCGTGTAGGGGGAAAAGCCCTGGTTTATAGCATTTGCCAATTTCTGTGGTGTAAATACTTCCAGGCCACCAAAGTTGCATCACTGAATGTGAAGCTGGGAAGAAGGCAGGAAAGAGTTAGCACAGCAACCCGGACTGCTGTCCTCTGTAGGGGTTGCTTACAAGGCTGGCCCTTGGGAACTTGTACTTCAGAAGGGTTCCCAGTGCTCCATGATGGAGCAGCTCACTGCGCCTAAATTATCTGTACAATCAATAGTTTATGCTGAACCCCTGCTTTCCTTCTGGGAGTCCAGACTTTAGGCACATGCTAGTAGAGGCTGCCTATGTGATGAGCTCCCAAGAAAACCTCTGTCGCTGAGCCTCTAACAAGCTTTCCTGGTAGGCAAGGCATCACTTGTGTTGTCACAACTTATTGCTGGAGGAATTAAGCATGCACTGTGTGGCTCCACTGGGAGAAGTCTCTGGAAGATTGGACCTGGTTCCTCCAGACTTTGCTCCCATGTATCTTTTCCCTTTGCTGATTTTGCATCCTCCTGCTATAATAAGTCATAGCCAGGAATATGACGGCATGCTGAATCCTCTCAGTGAATATCAGAGCCGGGGTGGTCTTGGGGACCCTCTGACAAGGCAGAGATGCACTGGAGCACATAATTGTAGAGCATTTCCACCGTACAGACAGAACAGATGCAAATAACTCCAGGAGCACTGATAACAGCAAAATGAAGTACTTACGAAGTGATGAATTTTGAGTATTTATTCCTTTTGTTTTGAATATAATTTATTTCATTGTAATTTTATACAATTTTATTTTTATTTTTATTTTTTGAGACAGGGTCTCACTCTGTCACCCAGGCTGGAGTGCAGTGGTGAGATCTCGGCTCACTGCAACCTCCGCTTCCCAGGTTCAAGTGATTCTCTTGACTCAGCCTCTCAAGGAACTGGGACTAAAGGCACACACCACCACACCCAGCTAATTTTAGTGTTTTTAGTAGACATGGGGTTTCACCATGTTGGCCAGGCTGGTCTTGAACTCCTGACCTCAAGTAATCCTCCTGCCTCAGCCTCTCAAAGTGCTGGGATTACAGGCATAAGCCACCGCACTACCGCACTTGGCCTGATTTTTATTAATAACTGTGTTTCACAAATGGTTCACAGAATTCCTGAAGATCCAACAGCAGGCTGTGGTGAGCCAGTGCATCCCAGCCCCAGTACCCCACTAGGTAAGGCATGCAGGTAGCAGTTCCTGCTGTGAATTCTCTACAGAGAAAATATCCAGCTTTCCCGTCCACCAAACCAGGTACATTCTCCATGCTTCCCTGGATCCAAATCACAGGGAAAGCTGGGTCACTGAACTTTGAGCTCTGTTTCTCCAGAAAATGACCTATCTGGTGAGACTTTTCTCCCCCAAGTCCTTCTTCCTGGACCTCTGCTTCAGGCAGCTCACCTCTGGACACAAGTGTCAGCTTGGCCCCACTGGCCATGAACACGGGGTTGAGGTCGGAGATGGGGCTGGCAGTGATGATGTTCCCTCCAACGGACTAAAACAAGCAGAGAGCATGCAGTGAGAGCCCACCCCAGGAAACCCCTGCTCACGTAGCAGGCTCCTGAACATACCAGCCAGGTGACACCTGCTGCAGGCAAACCCCTGAGGTCCTGTGCCTACTGTAGTCACAATACCAGCATAGTGAGAACTTCGGCATTCTGAAAAATGCGCAAAATTTGAAATCAGAATACTTGAGATTGGATCCCCACTCTAAAATTTTAGCAGGCAAGCCCCTTTAAGTGTGTGTGTTTGATTGATGATTTCACCCAACCTTTTCCCGAAAGGATTGAGGTGATTTATCACAGAGGCCATATAGACTTAGTAAAATAGAAGATAAAGATCAAGGAAAGAGAGGAGGAAGACTTAAGGTTGAACAATTTGCTCTATTTGGATCTGAACTTCCTGGTAACTTGGCAAAAAAAATGTAAGAAGAATCAGATACAGGGTTCTCGTTATTAGAAAACAGGAAGAAAATCAGTTGCACGATGAAAATACAATTCTTCCTGGAAATAGATTTTAGCAGAACTAGGGAACTCAGCAGAGTTTTTGAGTTTATGTTTCCTTATCTACAGTTTATGTTTCCTTATCTATAATCAGAAGTGACAGGTACTTGGGGTGGGGGCTGGGAGGAATAGGAGTAGGCTGTTTTGTTTTAATTTAAAAAAACAATTTAAAAATGGAAGAGATAGCTTTTCTTCCGACACCATAAACTGTTGTGAAGAGCTTCCATTGGCATAGGGTGTTCGAATGCCACCATTTGCAAACTGGGAATGTGGGGACTTGTCTGAAGGCTGACTGAATAATCAACAGGTGTATTCCTCCCTCTGTGGGAGGGCTCTGTCTCTGGTTCTCCCTATAGCTCTGAAAGGAAATTCCCCTCTCAATTCTGACTTCTCCCTAGCATATCCATATCTCTTGTTCACCTACTGTTTGGCTCAGCCAAGCTCAGGAAGGGGGAGGGAGGCAGGAAGCCTCATCTCTGCAACCACAGAATGAAGCCTATGAGTCGTGGAGTGCATTTCCCAGGGTGCCCCACAGACCACCTTCATCAGAAGCACCTGAAGAGCTGGGCTACATCCCAGACCCATGTATCAGAATCTCTGAGGGTGGGGCCCAGGAATCTGCACTTTAACAAGCACTGCTCCTCCCAGGCAACTCTAAGCGCTAAAGTTTGAGGCCCACTGCACTGACACAGTGAGAGTCTGGCTGCCCTGCTTTCAGATGAAAGCTCCATCCTACGGGCCTCGCTTGCTTCTGAGAGCGACTCACCGCCACAGACTTGACTTGCTTCCCAGCAAACCAGCGCAGCTGCTCCAGGACCCCTCTGAACACCTCTGTCTTTTGGGCAGGAAGCTTAGCAACAGCATCCACCAGGGTTTTTTCCACAATGCTCAGGGGGCAAGCAGCTCCAAAGGAGATACCTGGGAACGCACGTTCGGAATCACAGCAATTCTTCCCACAGTTCAGAAGAGGCTTTCATGCACAGCTCCTCTGAAGCTTTCCAGCAACTGGAGCAAGGCTGAATCAGGACTCACAGCTTTCCATGGATGAGGAAATGAGGGCCCAGAGTGGTTGAGTGACCTAACCAATGCCACACAGCTAATAAAAGAGCCAGTACTCAAGCTTGGGCCTCTTGATCCTACAACCAATGCTCTTTCCTCTAAACCAGTAGTTCTCAACTCATTAAAATCAGAATCTCTGAAGGTGAAGTCCTAGCATTCTTTTTAAAAGCACTCAGGCACAATCCCCACCTCCCCACCCCCGCATGAGTGATTCTAATGTGTAGCCAGAATTGAGAAAAATGATTGAAGATCCCGCAGCCTCTTGCCCACTGGCACCCTACCATGGATGTTTCAGCAATGAATGGGGTCTCCTCCCGCCTTTCCCTGTGCAAGGTGAGCCCCAGGAGAAGCAGGGGGCAGCCAGAGCCAGTGGGGAGACCACCCTGATACCTGCCACCCACCTTGTAACCTATCCCCAGCCTCACAGCCCCTCCATAAGCTTGGAGTGAACCTCCTCTTACCGTCGGGTCCATGTTCTACCGAATTCAGCTCAGGGATCCAGGCTGGGCAGACAATCATAGGAAACAGCATATTCTTGAACTTCATCTCAATGCCTAGAGAGAAACAAGAAGCTGAAGTTGTAGGCCCATTGTTGTATCACCAGGGCAGGCCTTAGCAGCTTTTCTCACCATTACACACAGGATATATGACATATCCACAATCATAATATGCTCTCTGGTGACTGTAGGTGTCTGGGAATAGGAAACTCAGTAGACCAGGGGTGGGATTAGATGCAGTCTTTGGACTGTCAGCCCAAAACTAGGTCTTTCTTTCCCTCTCAAAAAACCTACCTGAATTCAAATGAAATGAGTTTGAATTCACTCTAGTGTGTGTGTGTGTGTGTGTGTGTGTGTGTGTGTGTTTGTGTACATTAGAAAACACAGGAAATTAAGGTATGTCAGGAACCCTTCTAAGCACTTTCCCTATTTTAACTTAATTAATGCTCACAACAACCCTATGAGGTACTATGATTTTTCTGTTTATAGATGAAGAAGCTGAGGCACAGAAAAGTTAAGTTTCTTGCCCAAATCACACAGCTAAGAATAACCAAATTTCAGTACTGGAATGATTATTCGTGTTGGGGTATAATCGTAATAAAAACATGAAAGTTTAACATTAAAACAAAAAAGGAAAATGGGAGGGAAAACTTCAAATCTGTCCTCCAGTTCCCACTATCTGCCTGAGTTCTTCAAGTTGTCTGGCTTTGCGGGGCCACACATCTGTGTGTGGTTTCTGGCCTTCCTGACTAAATGAGTCAGAAGCCTCTGTTAAACAAGTGTGCCTCTGTTCCTTAGACCCAGTTGGCTCAGCACCTCTCCCAGCCCTGCCAACAGTGTATAGATGGAAAAGGTTAAAAAAGAAATACCTGTGACCTCTTTGCCCCCCCTTCCCCCCAGGTGCTGTTTAGGATTTCTGAAGGGGGCCCTAGGCTTTGTGGATCCCCAGATTCCAGAATCTTCAAAGCTCCCTTCAGAAATCCTAGAAGCACCTGAATACCAGCCCCTTTTGAATATCAGCTTCCAGGACAAAGAACACAGATTGAAGCAGCAAGTTCTACGTTACTAAGGTTTTCTCTTTGTCTGCCTTCCCCCAACACTCTGCGTTGACTGGAGGTGACTATGCTATTGGGGTATGTATAAGAGAGAAGGGAGTGGCGCAGAAGGAAATGGTCTTGAGAAATCATTTCTAATTGTGGAACTTAGGTAATCTTTGTTATTCATTTCTCTTGGAATCCAACTGGGCCCAGGACATTGGATGGCTCATGGCAGGGAGCATGCAAGTGTGAAATGATCCCCTTGAGGCTGGGGTGGGGGACCACATGAGCCCATGAGTTTGAGGTGAGCTATGGTGACATTGCACCACTGTATTTCAGCCTGGGCAACAGAGTGAGACCCTGTCTTTGAGGAAAAAAAAAGAAGGACCTCCTAAGATTCCCCCAGCCACCTTAAATCAAGCTACACCTGAGCTACATGAGCCATGAGTCCTGTTGAGCCATGGCCATCAAGATCACATTTCTTGAGGTGTGTCTCAGCCCACCCTGCTGCCTCAGTGTGTCACAAAACCACAGTTGGGGACTCTATCTTATGTATATGTGCGCACGAGGGAGGCGTCCATTCTGACTCCATCAGCACTGACCCAAGCCAGGCTCTCCTCTCTGTGGCTGAGGAGCCAACCAGAACTCAGGGCTTGGCAGCTCCTTCAGGAACCAGAGCCAGGACCTGACTGCTTAGAAGGAGAGCATGCCCCTCCACAGCAGAGGTCCTCAGCTGTCCCACGGTCTCCTCCTTAGATCCTCACTAGGCTTGGGATCCAGCAAAGTAGAAATAGGCCATGCCAGGTTTAGAAATCGACAGAGATTAGCAGGGACCTGGGAACCTCTCCCCATCTCTTACAGCACTGGGGCTGAGAGGTGCATATTCTGAGTCTCCCAGCCTGTTCAACTATTCCAGGCCTCACGTCCTAGGTGGTAGCACTGACAGGGCAGGTGGCCATGGTCATAGGCAACACAAACACAGTCACACCTGGAGCTCTCCTCTTCTTTACCTTATCACATCCTCCCCCAGAAAAAGTGGGGTGGTGGGGTCAAAAGCGACATTTATGGAACCTCTAGTGTCCATCAGCCACTGGCCTAGACACTTTGCTTAAATTAGTTCCTCCTCCCTTAGACTAGAAGGCCCTTGAAGGCAAGGAACCATGTCCAATTGAGCTTTGTATCCCAAGCCCCTTCCAGAGTACCTGGCTCATGCTCGGTGCTCTGTAAATGTTTGTGGAGAGAAGTCAACTACATGCAAGGATCTCATTTCACACCCAAAACAATCCTTCAAGGAGTTGTTAGTATCCCCATATAAAAAACAGAAAATGAGGGTAGATGAGGACAAGCAACTTTTCTGAGGTCACACATCCAGCAAGGGGCTGAGCCAGGCCTGTGGGACTCCACAGCTAGGGGCCTTTGCAGGAACTGGAGTGTCCAGGGATTTCCAGTGGGCTCCAGGTAGTCAGTGGGGCAGAGGGATAGGGTGCAGAGGCAAGTAAAGTCAGGGGGAGGTGAGGATGGGCAAGAGGACCTAGAAACACCCCCAGACCCCCTGGCAGCCCCAGGGCAGCCTCCCTGGCCCTTACCAATCTCCGTGTTCCCCACGACCAGCTTGGCGTCAGGGTGCTGAGCCTTGAGGTCCAGCAGCTCCTTGAGGGTTGAGGCCTGTATCCACGTCACACGCTCCCCTTCAAATCGCAGCTGCTTCCGAGGAGTGTCTTTCAGCCTCTGGGAAATGCAGTTTTCTTACTACACTGTCTCCCTCTTCCTACTGTCATTCCTCTTATAAATTGCTTTAAGTCCTCAATGGGATGTTTTACTGACATTCAGAATGAAAATATCTAACAGGAAGAAGCAAGGGGAAGTAATATGTTCAGAGGCAGGAACTCCATTGGGACTAGTCTTTACAAGACTTCCATGAAGGAGGCATTATGAGCCTCATTTTCACCAGTGAAAGAAGATCCTGAGGGTCAAGGAGGTTATGGGACCTGCTGAAGGTCACCTGCCATGAGGGGTCCCCAACAGACCTGGCTGAAAGCCAGATTCCTTGCAGTGCCCCATAATATCTCCAGGGGGCACCATGGACAAGGCATGAGAAGGGAGGGAGGGAGGGAGAGAGGGAGGGAGGGAGGGAGAGAGGGAGGGAGGGAGGGAGGGAAGAAAGGAAGGAAGGAAGGAAGGAAGGAAGGAAGGAAGGAAGGAAGGAAGGAAGGAAGGAGTTTGTTATAAGGGGATGCCTAGGAAGGCTGGCTTTAGTGCTTGCAGGAAGACACTGGGCTGAGAACGAAGCCCTCAAATCGAACTGCCAGTATTTTCAAAGTTTCACAGTCCAGAGAAAGATCTGCTGGTGGCCTGCTGCAAAGCCATTCTCTCTGGCCTGTTGAAGCTACAAGGTAGTTTTCATAGCTCAAAACTCTGAGAAGTGTGCACTTCAAAAACTCCGAGTGGCTTGATTCTTTCGTTGCCATAAATATTAGAGTGATGGTGATAAAGTGGGTGTGAGGGGGTTTCCTTAAGACAGAGCTGTGAGCTGCAGATCATGTCCTTTGAAGAGAGCTCTCGTTTTTTGTTTTGTTTTGTTTTGTTTTAAATAAATGGATTGCTTATAGAGGGAATACGTTTCTTGGAGTGCTTATGTATTAGATATAGGCAGGAGATCAACAAATGGTTATAGTGAACCTGCTACACTACACAGTGTGCCTAGAGAGCCAGTCCCTATCCTCATGGGGCTTGTCATTTAGCAAGGAACACAGACATCAAATTAATAACTGTAACTGTGACACACATGAACTGAAGTGCAGGGGCTGTGGGTACACATAGCAGAGACTCAACCTAGGGGAGTGTCAGAAAATGGAAGGGAAATTTAAGCTGAAACATAAAGGACAAGAAAGACACAAAGTTCCCAGTGGGTATGAAAATAAAGCAGGTTTCCAGGGACTCACAGTACAGACCCGGCTGGATCTGTCCCTGAGGCATCACCTACCAGCAACTCTGGGGGAAAAATGGGCTCCTGGGTTGGATCCAGGGGCGTGAACTCCTCTGGTTTGAATAAAGATGGCGAGAGGCTGACCTATGGGGAAAGAGAACAGGTAGGTGATGCAGTATCTCCTCCTTTCAAACACCCAAGAGGACCAATTCAGCCTTTCCTTCCAGCAAGCTCATTCCCAGCCCCCTGCAGGCTGCAAGAGGAGCAGGTAATCCCTGGGAGGCAGGAATGAGAGAGTCTCAGTTACAGGACCCGGGGCTAACGTGCACCATCACCATCCCCACAGTCTGCCATCACCGACTCACCGTAGGTTCCTCTTCCAGCCCCCACCGCCAGGGACATGGAGCTCGTGCACTGACTCCTCTAAGTCTCAGATTACCCCCAGGCTTCCAGGGGGAGAAGAACTCACTTACTGAGTGGTCTTTCTTCTGGTTCATGCAGCAATTTGGATTATTCCCATCTCCTCCACAGCATCCACCATCCTAGAGAGATGATGAACATCTGCACAAGGGTATTTACAAAGAGTATTTGCAGAAGCTAAGGAATCTAGATTACTAATATCCAGAACACTCCAGCTCTGACGCCTGTCCCAGCATCAACAGCAGGGGCATCCTGCCTGCCTGTTGCCCAGAGTGGAGGCCTCCGCTACATTCCCTCTTGCTTGGCTAACGTAGATTAAACAACTCATGGATAAACAAATAGGAGCAACAAGGCCACTGAATTTCAGGAACTTTTCTCCATAAAAGCTAGGTCCTACTTTATCAAAACCTATCCCTTATGCCCATTTCTCTTCTTCAGTGCTGCTTCCTCAGGAAGCGTCTATGAGGGATATTCCCATTGGCTCTCTCAAGACTCAAGAGGCTTGACTTCCAGATCAGCAAGGTTCTAGGGGCGTGGCTGGTGTCTCCCAGGCTGGGCTCTCTGCAGGACCCTGCCAAAGGATGTCCAAGACGGGTGCTGAGCCCAGCACTGTGTCCAGCCAGTGTGCCCAATGGCCTCCCTACTGCTTATTAGGCACTTCTTCCCAGAAAGGTAAACACCCTTCACTCCTCACTGTGGGCCTGTTCTGGAGAAGTATGCAGGTCAGACCACCCAGCATCTCTGGGAAAAGACTTGCTCAGGACCTCTTAGGATACCAGTGGCAGAGCACACACAGAGTCTAGAATCACTACCACCCAGCACCGAGGCACTGCAGGGTGGCAGAGGGGCGCACTCAGCTGACTGATCTGCAGCTCAGGGCTTCAGAAGACAGAGTCCTGGAGTTGTGCTGAGATGAAAAAGTAGGGGAAACTCATAGGTTCTGCCTCAGGCACTTTTATCGGGTAGTCAATTCCTGAAAAAGCAGGCTGGGAGCAGTCCTTCTGCAAGTCAGCCACAGGAGACACCATGCCATGCTGGCATTTTCCAGAGTCTGTTTCACAACTCGTTGTCTTCTGCAAGAAAGCACTCATGGGATGCTGGAGGTGTGACCTTGGAGAAGTTGTAAGCAGGCAGGCAGTGGCATCAGGAGAGAAACACCCCACCCACCCCACCACCTGGACACGCTGCTCCGTGTGCAGACTCTTCCTGCATTCACAGCTCCAGCACTGGACACCAGACCTGCTCCGTCCATTCTGAGCCTCCCCCCAGCCAGCCACCTTGCACTTCCCCTCTATATTTAGAAAGAAAGAAAGGAAGAAAGAGAGGTTTCTTAGTGCCTTTTCTCACCTTTCTTCTTGGAGAAGGAGTGATGTAGGGAAATGCCCTGGCCTACCTGAAGTGAAAGTCCTGCATCCCACTCACCTGGCCCTCTGAGGAAGGACATATTTCACAGAAGCGCCTTTTCCAGACAAAGTGCCAGTGCATTATTACTTAGATCTATTTTCTTGATAATTCATTGGTGTGTTAATGACATAAATTACTGTGATGTACAGTAATGCATCACTGCCCTCAAGGTCTATTGAGGTTGGATAAGACTACATTTTCTCATCCCCACCCTCCTGAGATTCCTACTTTACTAAATAGGCTAAGGCTTCTGCACTGGTGCCTTTAAAAAAAAAAGTTTTTTTTTTAGAGTGGTTTAAGGTTCACAGAAAAAACTGAGTGGAAGATGTAGAGAATTCCCAAATACCCCTATCCCAACATACACGCACAACCTTTCTCACTTCAGTATCCTCAAAAGTGGCATATTTGTTACAACTGATGGACCCACATTGACACATCATTATCACCCAAAGTCCATTAATTTACATGAAGGTTCACTCTTGGTGTTGTACATTCCATTGGTTTTGACAAATGCATGATTACAGGTGTTGACCCTTATGATATCTTACAGAAAGAGTTATACTGCCCTAAAAAACCTCTGTACCCTGACTATTCATCCCTCTGTTTCCCCTAATCACTGGCAACCACTAGTCTTTTTACTGCCTCCATGGTTTTGTCTTTTCTAGAATTTCATAGAATAGATATCATACAATATGTAGCTTCTAAAGATTGATTTCTTTCACTTAGTAGTAGCAATTAAGGTTTGTCTATGTCTTTTCATAGCTTGATAGCTCCTTTCATTTTGGCACTGAATTAACATTCCATTATTTGGATGTTCTACAGTTTATTCACCTACTGAAGGACATCTTGGTTGCATCTAAGTTTTGGCAATTATGAGTAAGGTTGTTGTAAGCATGCCTGTGCAGGTTTTCATGTGGCAATAAGTTTTAAATTCCTTTGAGTCAGTTCCAAGGTGTGTGATCACTGAGGTGCATGATAAGACATGTTCAGTTTTGTAAGAAACTGCCAAATTGTCTTCCACAGTGGTTGTGCAGTTTGCATTCTCACCAGCAATGAATGAGAGTTCCTGTTGCCCCACATCCTCACCAGAATCTGATGTTGTCAGTGTTTTGGATTTGACCATTCTAATAGACCTGTGGTGGTATTTCACTGTTCTTTCAATTTGCAATTCCCTAATGGCATATGATGTCGAACTTATATGCTTACTGGCCATCCATATACCTTCTTTGGTGAGGTAGCTGTGCAGGTCTTTTACCCATTTTTTAATTTAGTTGTTCATTGTCTTATTGCTGAGTTTTATAAGTTCTTTGTATATTTGGATAAGTACTTTACAAGATGTGTCTTTTGCAAATATTTTTCTCCCAGTGTACCGCTTGTCTCCTCATTCATCGTTATTAAATTTTAATGAAGTCCAGCTTATAATTATTTCTTTTATGGATCATGCCTTTGGTGTTGCATCTAAAAAGTCATCATCATTCCAAGGTCATCTAGGTTTTCTCCTATGTCATCTTCTAGGAGTTTTATTGCTTTACACTTAGGTTTATGATTCATTTTGAGTTAATTTTGAGAAGTGTATAAGGTCTGTGTTTAGATTCATTTTTTTTTGTATGTGAATGTCCAACTGTTGCAGCACCATTTATTAAAAAGACAATCTTTGCTCCATCGTATCGCCTTTTCTTCTTTGTGAAACATCAGTTGACTGTATTTATGTTGGTCTATTTCTGGGCTCTCTATTCTGTTCCATTGATCTCTTTGTCCATTCTTTTGTCCATTCTTTTTGTAGTATGGACAGTGTCCATACTACACTGTCTTGATAACTGCAGCTTTGTAGTAAATCTTGAAATTGGGTAGTGTCAGTCCTCTGACTTTGTTCTCTATTCTCCTTCAATATTGAGTTGGCTATTCTGGATCTTGTTCTTCTCCATATAAACCTTAGGATCAATTTGTTGATAGCCACAAAATAATTTACTGGGATTTTGATTGGGATTGCATTGAGTCTACAGTTGGGAACAACTGACATCTTGACATATTCAGTCTCCTTATTCATGAAAAAGAAATATCTCTCCATTTGTTTAGTTCTTTGATTTTGTTCATCAGAGTTTTGTAGTTTTTCTCACATAAATCTTGTACACACTTTTTAGATTCATACCTAAGTATTACATTTGTTGGAGAGTATTAATGTAAAACGTAAATGATAATGTGTTTTGAATTTCAAGTTCCACTTATACATTGCTGTTACATATGAAAGTGATTAACTTTTGTATTGCCTCTGATTCTATCTTCTGGAAGAGATTGTGGAGAATTGACATAATTTCTTTTTTAAATGTTTGATAGGATTTACCAGTGAATCTATCTGGGCCTGGTGCTTTCTGTGTTAAAGGTTATTAATTAATGATTCAATTTCTTCAATAGTTATAGGCCTATTCAGATTATCTACTTTTTGTATGAGTTTTGGTAGCTTACATCTTTCAAGGAATTGTTTTATTTCATCTAGGTTATCAAGTATATGAGCATAGAGTTGTTCTTAATATTCCTTCATTATCCATTTAATGTACATGAGCTCTATAGTGAGATCTTTTTATTTTGATATTAGTAACTTGGATCTTCTCTTTTTTTTCTTAGTTAGCCTGGCCAGAGGCTTATTAATTTCATTGATCTTTTTAAGGACCCAAATTTCAGTTATGTTGATTTTCTCTATTGATTGTCTGTTTTCAATGAAATTGATTTTTGCTCCAAATTTTATTTTTCTTCAGCTTACTTTGAATTTAATTTGCCTTTTTTTTTCTAGTTTTCTAAAGTGGGAGCCCAGATTGCTGATTTTATTTGTATTTTATTTTTATTATTTATTTATTTATTTATTTATTTGAAATGGAGTCTCACTCTGTCACCCAGGCTGGAGTGCAATGGCGCAATCTTGGCTCACTGCAACCTCCACTTCCTGGGTTCAAGTGATTCTCCTGCTTCAGCCTCCTGAGTAGCTGGGATTACAGGTGTGTGCCACCATGCCTGGCTAATTTTTGTATTTTTAGTAGAAACAGGGTTTCACCATGTTGGTCAGGCTGGTCTTGAACTCCTGACCTCGTGATCCGCCCGCCTCATCCTCCCAAAGTGCTGGGATTACAGGCATGAGCCGTCGTGCCTGGTGGATTATTGATTTTTAATCTTCCTTTCTAATATATGCATTCAATACTATAAATTTCCCTCTAAGCATTGTTTTCACTGCATCTTGCAAATTTTGATAAGCTGTATTTTCAATTTCATTTAATTCAAAATATTTTAAAATTTCCCTTGAGATTTTCTTTTTGACCATGTGTTCTTTTGAATTGTGTTGTTTAATCTTCAAGCATTTGGGGGTTTTCCAGCTATCTTTCTGTTATCGATATCTAGTTTAATTTCATTTTGGTTTGAAAGCAGACATTGTATGATCTCTATTCATGCAATTTAAATTTGTAAATGTGTGTTTCATAGCACAGAATGTGGTCCATCTAGGTGAATGCTCCACGTGAGCTTGAGAAAAATGTCTTTTCTGCTGTTGTTGGCTAAAGTAGTCTATAAATGTCAATTATATCCAATTAATTGATGGTGCCGTTGAGTCCAACTATGTCCTTACTGATTTTTGGCCTGGTGCTGTCCATTTCTGATATAAGGGTGTTGAAGTCTTCACATATAATAATGGATTCATCTATTTGTCTCTGCAGTTCCACCAGATTTGCCTCATGTATTTTGAAGCTCTGTTGTTAGGTGCACACACATTAAGGACTGTTATATCTTCTTGGAGTATTGATTCCTTTATTATTTTTAATGCCCCTCTTTTTCTCTGATAACTGTTTGCTCTGTCCAAAATTAATATGCTACTTCCACTTTCTTTCGATTAGTATATCATGGTCCACCTTTCTTTATCTACTTAGTTTTAATCTATCTGTGTCTTTTCATTTAAAGTAGGTTTCTTGTAGACAACATATAGTTGGGTCTTGTTATTTTCATCTACTCTAACAATCTCTGTCTTTTAAATGGTGTATTTAGATCACTGACATTTAAGGTAATCATTGATATAGTTGGATTAGTATCTACCATATTTGTTATTGTTTTCTATTTGTCGTCCTTATTCTTTGTTTCTAGTTTTGTCTTTCACTCATTTTCTGACTTTTGTGGTTTGAACTGAGCATTATATATAATTTCATCTCCTTTCCTTTCATAAAGTATCAATTATACTTCCTTTTTTCTTTTTTTTTTTTTCTGGTAGTTGCCCTAGAGTTTGCAGTATACATTTTTAACTAATCCAAGTCCACTTTTAAATAACACTACACCGCTTTACAGGTAGTGATTGTATCTTATAATAACAAAATATTTCTAATTTTTCCCTCTTGTTTATTTTATCATTGTTGTCATTCATTTTACTTATACACAAGCACATATATATATACATATGCACACATAAACAAATGCATGGTTGCTATGATTGTCTTGAACAAATTGCTATCTGTTAGACCAATTAAGATTAAGAAAAATAAAAATTTTTATTTTACCTTTACTTGTTCATTCTCTCATGCTCTTCCTTTATGTAGATCTGAGTTTCTGGCCTACATCATTTTCCTTCTCTTTAAAGAACTTCTTTTAATATTTCTTACAAGATGGGTCTACTGGCAACAAATTATCTCAAGTTTTGTTTGAGAAAATATTTCTCACTCGCTTTTGAAGGATACTTACGGAGGTTACAGAATTTTAGGTGCTTTGGTTTTTTCTTTCAATACTTTAAGTATTTCTCTCCATGCCTCTTGCTTGCATGGTTTCTGGGAAAAGTCAGATATAATTTTATATTTGCTCTTCTATAGGTGAGGGGTGTTTTCCTTTGGCTTCTTTCAAGTCATTTTTCTTTACCTTTGATTTTTTGAAGTTTGAATATCACATGCCTTGGTATAGTTTTTGTTTGGTTTTGGGTTTTGGTACTTATCCTGGTTTGTGTTCTCTGAATTTCCTGACTCTGTGGTTTAAAATCTGACATTAATTTTGGGAAATTCTCAGTCATTTTTGTTTCAAATATTGCTTCTTTTCCTTTCTCTTTTTCTTCTTTTACTGCTGATATTCTCGTTACACATATGTTACATCTTTTGTAGTTATCACACAGTTCTTATTTGTTTCTGTTTGTTTTCATTCACTTCCTTTTCTCTGTTTTTTGGTTTTGAAAGTTTGCATTGTCATATCCTCAAGCTCAGAGATTCTTTTCTCAGCCATGTCCAGTCTACTAATGAGCCCACCGAAGGTAGTCTTCAATTTGTTATAAGCGTTTTCAATCTCTAGCATTTCTTTTTAATTCTTAGAATTTCCGTTCTCTGCTTACATTATCCATCTGTTTTTGTATGTTATCTATTTTTTCCATTAAATCTCTTAGCATACTAATCATAGCTTTATAAAATTCCTCATTTGTTAATTCCAATATTCCTGTCCTATTTGACTCTGGTTCTGCTGTTTGTTCAGTCTCTTCAAATTGTGTTTGCCTTTGACTATGCCTTATAATTTTTGGTTGAAAGGTGGACATGATGTACTGGCTGAAAAGACCTCATATAAATAGGCCTTTAGTTAATGTATTGGTAAGATATGAAGGAGAAGTATCCTATAGTCCTAGGATTAGTCTCAGTTTTTTGGTGAGCTTGTGCCGCTCACCTGTGAACTTCACAAGCGCTTCTCAGGGTTTTTTTTCTCCGTTTGGTGGGACAGGATGGCTGGAGGGGGCTGGGCTTGTGTATTTCCCTTCCCACAGGTGAAAGACTAAAGGTCCTGGGGTTGCGTATTTCCCCTCCCCAAGGTAGGCGAGGATCTAATATAACCTCAGAAGTTTAGGCTGCGGTAAAATAATTTCTTCTGAGGACAGGCCTTTTTAAGAAGAACAGAATGCTCTGGCATATTCCAAAATGGTTCATTTTTCCCACTCCCTACCAGAAACACAAGGAGATTTTTCTCCAACATTTACTGTGAGGACCTGGTGGAGATCCTGGAGGTAAAACTCACAAAGGTGTAGAGCACCCGCTCCATGACTGCATCCCCCTGGAGTTTATATCCATGTATAAACTCCAGCAATTCATCAGTTAGTCCTTACATCTTCCTATCCTGGCAAAGGTTCCTGCAGAGGTTTCTGCTCTGATATGCCGTGTCTGCCTGTCTGTCTCTCCAATTTTTTGGACAATGAGTTGTCCTGTGACCTCATTCCTCTGATGGATCTAAAAACAACTGTTGATTCTTCAGTTTGTTCAGCCTTTTTCTTCTTGTTTAGATGAAATAAAGACTCCTAAGCTGCTTACATGCCAGACCAGAAACTGGAAGTCTTGCTTGTACCTGTTTAATGGTTCCTCCATTTCTTTCCTTGTCACCAGATAGCTGTGGTCACTTCTCGCCGTGAGCAGTGTGCCCACCTCTAGTTGACCCTCCACACGCTTTCTAGTGTGTGCTGTGGACAGGAAAGCTAGTAACCGAGTTTGTTAGAGCTGTGTGTAAAATAAAAGTAAAAAGGCTCTGAAGAAACATCTCGGAGACCTCCGATGAGTAACATGCATTAGCTTCTGAGCACCTTTTGTGTGTCAGGCATTTTGGCTGCTCAGAGCTCTCAGTCTTGCTCTGCTCTGCACTGCAGGGTAGCTGAATTGAGGGAGGTAAGTTCTGCATGGTGAAATCAAGAGCGATTTCAACTTCCAGGAGGGAAGGCAACTGCTATACTCAAAAATCCTTCTCTTTTGAAAAATTAAGAGGACTGATTACATTATATCACTTTGAGCAGGTTCTTATGAAGTAAATAGAGGCAAGATTAACAATCTCTGGGTCTCAGGAAACAGTGAGTAACTTGGGAAGATTATATAGAGGCTACTGGAAGAAATATACCAGCTTCATAATTTATAGTTCCCATTTATTGAATAACAGAAATGTGCCAGGCATTGTTCTAAAAGCTTTTCAAGAAGTACTTAATTTTTATAAACACAGTAAGGTAGATATTCTAATGAAATCACCTAATAAAATCACCATTTTATTAGGTTGGTGCAAAAATAATTACAGTTTTTCCCATACTTTTAATGGCAAAACCACAGTTACTTTTGCACCAACCTAATAGAAACAAGGAGACTTGCCCAAGGTCGTGCATCAATTAAGTGCCTCAAATTGAACCCAGGTCTGCAGAATCTGAATTTGTGCTTTTAGGCATTTTCATTTAATTCCACACTTGTTAATTCTTCATCAGCAGCAGCATTAATCAGAGTGTGGTGTTTTCCATCCTTATAAGGTCCTGTCTCCTTGTTTACCCACCCCTTCTTGGATTATACGATTATACAGACACAGCACTCTTTTTCATGATGCTCCAACCCTAAAGGTGAGTGGAAAGCACAGGAGTCTGTAACTCCCCTGGACCCAGAATCAAACTGAAATGAGATGGTTTGATTTGGAGTCAGGATTAACGTGGCCCAATTGAGAAGTCAAGTAAAACCTGGGGGGAGATTAAGCCAAGAAAGGAGATGCCAGCTCTCTGCCTTCCTTGCCAGATGGCAGGTGTGTGTATGTGTTTATATAATCAATGCCCACACATCCGGCTGTGACTTCTCACTCAGAGTTATATGAACATTGCAGGGGTTCACAAACTGTCTGGAGATCTAATTACCAGTTTCATAAGCCCAACAGAGTGCCAGCCACAGAAAGCAGCCAGGAGAGGGAAGGAGGAGGGGTGCAAGTGCTGAGCAAGGCCACGTTGTTATTAAATGCTACATTCAGCACCTGTGCCATGGGCTGAGCCTGCCAGTCTCCAAGGGAAAGCTGCCAAGCCCAAAGGCACTGCCAAGCTCAAAGGCACTCTCAGGCGGTGAGCCTCTTCCAGGAAGCCGGTCTCCAGACCATCACTGGCAGAAAGTCCCATGCTATTCATAAGAACCCTTCCCTGAATAAGAATGGCAGACTCTACTCCCCATGCCAGATGTCCCCAGAGGGAAGACTCACTAACTGGTCATCTTATCATCATTGTTTGTAGACCAGAGGCCCTTGGTCTCCCTCCCCACAGTGATTTCTGAGTGTTGCCATTTTAGAAGCAGAGACACTGATGTTCTGGGGTCCCCACTTACCCTGGCAAAGGTCCGGAAGCCCTGGAGGATGGGTCTGTAGCCTGTGCAGCGGCACAGATTTCCTGTGGGCCAAGGAAAAAACTGCAATGTCAGTGCAGGGCCCTGGGATGGGTGAGGAGTTTGTGACTTTGCTTGCAACTAAGTTGGGTGCTCTCTTTACCAGGCTGCATATTCTGTTACCTCTGTCTGGAAGGCCTCTTGGCCTTCTCATATCCTGACTTCAGAAAAGTTATCATGATTTCAGGAAGTCTTTCCTAGAATGGAAGCCTTCCTAGAATGCCCAGACTGAGTCAGGTACCTCTCCTAAGTGCTCCCACAGTGGCTGATCACAGCTTCATCAGTTAGCCTATCAGACTACATTACAAACTCTCCTCTTCAGAGTATGAACTTTTTGAGAGTAGAGGGTGTGTCTTTTATCCCTGTGGCATAGGATGTGACTAAAATAACTGAATAAATGATGGAAATGGTGAATAGATGGGGAGGCTTCTCTATTCAATTCAGAGAAGCAGACACATTGGTGGTCTTGGCCCTGCAGAATCCTGTTCTGGTGAAAACTGAGAGGGAAGGAAATCATATCACTAGCCCCCGTGGAGTTTTCTAAATGACGTCTTCCTGCACCAGCCATGCACTGCCAACCCCACTCCAATACTGGTGGAAGGCAGACAGACACCTCAGAAATATGGACACAAAGGCAGGAGACCCCAGGAGGTCTCCACACCAACCAGGAGTTCTCCCAAGTAAGAGAGGGTTGGCTTTCTAGCAGATCTTAGTCACCACCTTGTTGGGGGGCCTGAGCCCTTCCTCCAAAGGGTAGTCCCTCATGCTTCTCACCCTGGCACTTGCCCTGACCTCTGCAGGGCCTCGTTTGCCATTCCACCTCCTAGGCTGTGCCTGAAGGCCCATACCTTGGAAGGCATTCTCAATCTCCTCCATGGTGGGCTCGGGCTGATTCCGGAGCAGTGTGTACATACTCATGACGATGCCAGGGGTGCAGAACCCGCACTGGGAGCCGTGGCTTTTGGCAATTCTCTCCTAAAAGATACAGATGACATAGACACCTGGGATGGCAGAACCCTCCCAGGCTCCCCAAAGGACTCGACTGGAGCCAGCACATGTTGAGAGATAGTGGGGGTAGTAATCACTGCACAGAGTCAAGCCCCAGTGCCACCATTTACCAACTGTGACCTTGGCCAGTTTCCAAGCCCTCTGAGTCTAGGTTCTTCATCTGTATGATGAGGACCATCCTTGTAGTTACCTCTAGAGCTGCGATGAGGATTAACTGAGATATTCATGTAAAACCCTTAACACTGTACCTGCATATAGCAGGCAGTCAGCCAGTGTTAGCTATGACTAGGAAGGTCCCTTCAAAGAACAGTGACTATCATAACCAGAAGGCAGCTTCTGAATGGATTGGGTGTGGCATATGACAGAAACAGTCAAAGGTGATGTCTAGATTTTTGTCTTGAGCAATTGGGTGGATGGCTTTGCCATTGACTCAGATGGGAGAAGACTGGGGAAGGAAGCCATTAGGAAAAGAGTAGGGTTTTCTTAAGTTTGAGATTAGACATCCGTATTGAGATGTCAAATAGGCAATTGGAAATGTAACTTCTGAGGGGAGGTCAAAGCTGAAGTTGTAAATGAGAGTATAGGGATGAAGAAGGGGAGGGGCCCAGGTCAGGGCTCAGGGCACTGCAGCAATTAGAGACTGAGCAGAGGAGGAGCAAGTGTGGGGAGAGAAGGAAAAGCCAGAACCACAGTGTCACAGAAACCAAGAGAAAACAAATAAATGGACAAGAAGTGGAATCTGGCTCTGAAGCCTATTTGTAGCCAAAATAAGTTGATTAGGAATAAGAACCTGTACCATTGGATAGGGAGGATTTTAGGTTGATTATACAGATACAACCTAATTTGGTTTGGCTGTGTCCTCACCCCAATCTCATCTTGAATTGTAGCCCCCATAATTCCCATGTGTTGCGAGAGGGACCCTGTGGGAGATAACTGAATCATGGGGGTGGTTCCCCCATCCTGTTCTCATGGTAGTGAATAAATCTGACGAAATCTGAAGGGTTTCTGTTTTCACTTAGCTCTCATTTCTCTTGTCTGCCACCATGTAAGATGTGCTTTTCACCTTCTGCCATGATTGTGAGGCCTCCCCAGCCATGTGGAACTGAATCCATTAAACTTCTCTTTCTTTGTAAATTACCCAGTCTTGGTTATGTCTTTATCAGCAGTGTGAGAATAGACTAATACTTGACTCCTATGTTTAAACTGTTTATTCTTTCTTTCATCTGTTTGTTTCAAAGAAAATAACAAGCCTTAATTAACCCTCTCACGTCTCCTTCAGGTTGGACAAGTTTAGTAATTTCCCCTCTTCCTGCCTAAGAAACAAATCTATAGATGGGAAGCAATCCCACCCCGACCTGGCTGGCCTCACATGACTGGCCCAAGATGCCACTCCAAGGAATAGTACCAGCCTCTCCGCAGGAGGCTCCAGCTCCATCGCCTGAATGACATGTCTCCTCAAATAATCAAGGGAGGATTAAGACCTGGGCCAAGCTCTGGTAACTTCTTTTTTTTTTTTTTTTTTTTGAGATGGAGTCTCACTCTGTCGCCCAGGCTGGAGTCCAGTGGCACGATCTCGGCTCACTGCAAGCTCCATCTCCCAGGTTCACGCCATTCTCCTGCCTCAGCCTCCTGAGTATCTGGGACTACAGGCGCCCGCCACTCCGCCTGGCTAATTTTTTGGTATTTTTAGTAGAGATGGGGTTTCACCATGTTAGCCAGGATAGTCTCGATCTCCCAAAGACCCCAAGTTTCCTCAAACAAAATGCTTTGGGGACAATGGCCGTTCCTTCCAACAGGGCTCTACTCCCCTTTCTTTCCACTCAGCCTAACAGCATCCTGATTGTCTCCCCAAACCAGTCTAAGATTATTACTGCCCATTTGCCCCAGAAATGTTTCGGATTTCAATGCATTTTCAGGTGGTCTGATACCATCAAGGAGAAAGCCTTGCTCAGGCACTAAATCTCTGTCATCTTATTTAGCACTTGCTAACCTCCAGTCTAATGAAAGAGGAGGCCTAGCAGTTTACATTTGTACTATCTGCGGGTGGGAGGTAAGGGGTGCAGAATTACCATTGCAGGGAGTAAGTGGGCTTATAAACAAGGGGCACAGATAATTAAAATTCAAATCTGGGAAGGCTGGGAGTTTCCTAAACACACTCCAGAACAAAGTGAGGAAGCTCTTCTGCATCCCTTCCTCCAAGTTCTGGACTGGTCTAGCCACCAGATTCAGTTGGCCTCTTGGGTCCCTTCAGATCATGCAATGTTATAACCAACCAGCTCACAGGAAGGAGCTTCAGGCTTGGGTGTTTCTTCTTTTCACCTCACGGTACCCAGAGGAGATGGGGAGGTGGCCAGGGTGAAATGCCTTCTTAGATTAAGCAGTGAAACTCTTCCCAACAACCCAAAGCAAGTCTGCAACTTTGGCATGAGCCTCCCTGCAGAGGAAAGAGCCTGATCTCAAGAGCACAGCTCCCTTTCCTCTGTTTACCTGCACAGGATGCAGCCTCGTCTTGGTGCTTCCTATTCCTTCCACAGTTGTCACTGCAACATGGTGCAAGGAGCAGATGGGGGCCAGGCAGGCATTGGCAGAAAAGTGGCTAGAACCCCAGATTAAGGTCATTCCATTTATTGTCCACTCAGATCATCAGAATGGGCCTGACTGTGAGCTCTGGAGGACTTTGTGAGGCTTTATGTTACGTCTCTCCGCTCCCATTTATGTTCTTGTCTCTTCTACCAGTGTCCTCACCTCTCCACTGAAGACTCTGGGAAAGGAACAAAGGAAGCTCTCCTTATAGGTAAAGCTGAGCCCCTCCAGAGTACTGTGGGATCAGGCATCAGAGCATCCTCAGCCTCTGAGCAGGAGCAACGGAGCCAGGGTCACTTTCAGTCACCTCTTACTCAGCCTGACCCAGGAGGCTGAGTCAAGAGGAAATTTCTCTGGCAGGCTGCAGCCTTAAAGCATGCTCCTGCCTGCAGGGCTGTTCCTTAGCTTCCAATCACTTTGCTTCCCTGCATTTCCTCGCCTCTATTGCTTTCATTTCTCTGTGGGGAAAGGGGGAGGAAACCCCCAGGCAACATGAGACAGCAAGCCCTTAGCTAGAACTTCCTTGCATTCTTCTGTTATTCATCACTCATTCACTTACATTCAGCATCAGTTATTGAGTGCCAGACATAAGTCAGGCACTCTGCTGAGGGCTGGGAAAATAAAGATGAATAAGATGAAAGCTCTGCCCTTCAACAGACTGCAGTCAACTGAGAAAACCAAAGTCCATATGAAGGTGCAATTTAAATCTTGTTAAAGTAAATTAAAAAGGAGACCAGGCCTGAAGACTCAGCAGAGGAAACCAGTTAGGCCTCACAAGTGACCTAAACTGTGCTTGATTTGCAGCAGAGTCTTAACTTGAGCTACTTCTTACGAATATCTTTATATTAAAAAAAAGCCTTACGATCAACCAATCAGAAGTAGTCAACAAACTTATAACTATAGTACTAGGGACTTTCCAGTGGGATAGACCAAGTAAGGCAATTGTATAATTGTAACCAATCAAATAATTTCTTTGCTTTTTGCCTGTGTCCATCCTACAAAAACCTCCTGCTTGCATTTCCCTGGTGGAGCTCCTGAACTGCTTCTAATGTGGAGCTGCTTGAGCTCATGAACTGTTGTTTTCTCAAATAAACTGTAAAAATTGTATCATGCCTGAGTTTACATTGGGAATGCTGTGCACAGGGCACTATGGGACCAGCACAGTCAAGGGGCACCTAACCCAGTCTTGAGAGATCCAGGATGGCTTCCTGGAGGGGGTGATATTTTTGCCCAGTTGTAAAGAGCTAGTAAGAGTTAGTCAGATAGAGAAATCCTAGGAGAACTTCCCAGCTTAAACAAAGACCAAGCAATTAGTGGGCCTGTGTCATTGGTATTTCACAATTATCTCTGCTTGAATGGAGTGCTGGGCCCATGGTGAGAAAGAAAACTGGAGAAGAAACCTGGGGCATACTGTGCAGGGCCTTGCCCGCTAAGCAAAGAGATTTTGTCCTGGGGGCAATGAAGAGCTATTGAAGGGCTTTATGGAATGTGATATAAATGTGGATTTTAGAAAAGTCATTTTATCAGCAGTTCGGAGCCTGGTCAATATTATAAGCCTAGAAGATACTTGCTAAGAGATCATTCTACAGTTTTCCTGTGCACAGATTCTCCATAAAAACAGGGGCTCACACATGCGCACATGCACATACACACATACACTCATGCACTCCCTCACAAGCTGGTCCTGCATCGCAGCCCCCATGTGGGTGGTCAGCCAGCAGGCAAAGGATACACGATCTTGTTCTGCAGACGATCATACTTGGAGAGCATCACTGTGCAAGCCCCGCAGCCCCCCTCTCCACAGCCGAGCTTGGTTCCACTCAGCCCCACTGGGTGGTCAAGAGTTAAGGAGAATGAACTCAGGGAGAGGAGTCTGCTGGGTTGCTAGGAAATGCCTGGGCAGAGCTGTGGGCAGAGCCATTCATTCCCACACGTGCTCAGGCCCCTCAACCAAGGAAGGCAGCAGGCCCACTGGCCTCCTTATTCAGAGGGGCTGCACTGCACCCTAGGGAGGCAGGGAACACGGCCATCTCCACTGCACAGAAGAGCAAAGGCATCAGAACCCCATGGACAGCACCCAAGTAGCATCTCTTGGGACATGAGTTCTAGGACTGGTCAGTCCTAGAGCCTTCTCTTGGGTTGAGGTCTTCTATGTGTGAGCAGGTAAATCATACACCTGAGCATACGGGGCAGTTCTCACATCACTCCCAGCTGGGCACACCATGAAGCCACTTGGGCCAGAATGAGACATTGATCTGTTCTGGGACCTCTGAGTCCTTGCTTTTCACTCTGAACTTTTTGGGCTGATAAGTCCCCAAGAATCAAAATTAGGGCTAGACCAGAGGCTTTTGAATATTTGGTCCAAAAGATATGTGAATGGAAATTAAAATAGAGTGGTTTTTTTAGGTCTGGGTCCAATATTGGGCCTCACTCTTACATATACTTGCAGAAAGACCATCTGCTACTTTGAGTTTTAAAAGTGCCTAACTGGTAAGCTATTCTAGAGAACAGCTATTGTGGAGGTCACTTTCCCTGAGTCACATGGCTGCTTCTCCCTCAGACCTGCAGGCCTCTAAGCCACCCACTACCTACTGAAGATGGAGGGAACTGAGGATATAATCGCCTGGTCACTTCTCTCATTTTCAAGACAAAATTTAAAAACAATGATATAACATCTTATTTTTGAAAAGCACTTTCACCTAGATACCTGTTTGACCTCCAGAATGATTTGGTTAGCAGGTAGGAAAGAAACTTCCTCACAGATTTAAAAAAAACAACAAACTGAGACCCAAGAGGTAACGTGGGCCACACAAGATGACACAGGAACACGTTACCCTGCCGGTGTGGCCCCATCACAGCCATCGGACTCCAGACTGGGTGAGCTCCCTTCATCACGCTCCTTCCTCCCCAGCACACCTGGGAAGGTTTTCTGTGTCCTAGTCAGGATATATGCAGCTCTCAGCAGGTCAAACAACTTTGGGGGCACCTGAAGACGAATGGTGGCACCTGAAGATGAATGGTGGCAGTACAAAGTCTAGCAAGGTCTTCTTCCAGCCTGGAGACCTTTCTGGAAGCTAGTGTAAAAGTCAAGGCTGGAGTTTTCTCCCCCATCTGGAACTCCCATAAATTGACTCTCAGCACAGATAGCCATAAGCTGCAAGGTCATCCTACTTATGTGCCAACTTTCAGTTTTGCATTTCATTTAAGATGTGACACAGCCAATTGCTGATAAGGAATTTCTGAGGCTTCTGGGCCTTCAAAACTACAATGGAAATGATTAAAAAATTAAAATTTGTTTTATTATTAGAAAGCTAAAATTGATCTCAATAATCTCTGAGAATGAGCTTCTCTTCCCAGACCTCCCAGGTAGATGGGCTGTAAATGGAGTTCCATGCAATCACCTGATCCGATCTAGTGACACTTTCACTCCCCAGCACCACCAGGTTTATCTTCTGTGAACCTCCAGATACACCCACTTAAGGTAAAAAATCCAGAACAAAGTACACCAAAGCCAACCACTGTACTGTCTGATAGGAGGGGAGCAAACCAGAGTGAAAGCATGGGCTCCAGTCTCACTTCTGTGCGTGTTATAATAATCTTTGCTGTCCCCAAATATGTCACTGGAAAGACCCACTAGACACCCCCGCTAGGAGAAGGAGGGTTTTGTTGACAGAGGTCAGGATGAGCACAGTCCTGCTCACAGGCCCCCTGGAGAGTTGCCAGTGCGGGTGAGAGGTTGGGAACACAGCTCTAGGCTTTGGTGCAATCTCCATCACTATTTCCCCAGAACACACTAGCAAAAGGCAGGTCACTTCACATATCAAGGCCTCAGTTCCTCCTCTGTGAAAAGGGAGTGTTACGCTTCCATGGGATTCCTGTGGAGATTGAGGTGAGCTGCACAAATCACTTTGAATCCTGCCTGTATATAGGAAGTGCTCATTAAATATTAACTCCAATTATTATTATCGTTTTAGTTCCAGGGTCCCAGAATACTTCCGATACTCAGAACTAAAGGTAAAGGGGCTTTTCCAGAAGCCCCACCCACACTGAGTGAAGAGCAGCACCCCAGTCTTTCTAAGGAGTCCCCCCACCCTCCAGGGCTCCCTGTTTGCTGTTTCTACAATGAATGCTACCTGTATAGGATTCTTACCTCACGCATCCTTTTCCCAATAGACACATGTTCCCTTGCTTCCCTCCACCTAGGCAGAGCTGGAAACATTCCCCAGGAACTCCATTTATGTATTAAGCAAATGTCACCTAAGGAAGGCCCCCCTCTTCCCACAGAGGAATGACCATGAAGCTCACCAAGGCTAATGAGGACCTTTCTACAGGCCCTGGATTAAACCTTGGCATTACTAGAGTCTTAGCGGGGAGACACCTCGAAGATCACCACAAACAATCCTCTCATTCAGTAGCTGAGAATTTCAGATTACAGGTGCAACTAAAATGCAAGTGTCCCAAGTCCTAATCCAGTGCTCTTTCCTCCACACCTCAAGGCCACCCCACCAGTCACTAGGAAACAATGTAAGGCCTACAGAATCAGTCACCATTGCCCCCCTTCTCCGTCACTCCCACTCCAAAGTCAGGATACACTTTCTTCTCAGGTAGGCCAAAAGGGTTGTCTCTGGATCTGCATTTTTCTCCACCACCTATTAAAATAAATGAAAGAAAAATATATCATAGGTATACTTAGTCATCTTTCTGCAATTAATTTCTTCCTTCAGTGTCTCACTCAATAATTTGTAGAGTTAGTAGGAAGTGTGATATAGTTTGCACTCTGCCCCTCTAAATCTCATGTTTAATTGTAATCCCCAGTGTTGAAGGTGGGGCCTAGTGGGAAGCAATATGATCATGGGGGCAGATTTCTCATGAATGGCTTAGTGCCATCCCCTTAGTTGTGAATTAGTTGTCACGAGATATTTAAAAGTATGTGGCATCACCCCCTTCTCTCTCTCTCTTGCTCTTACTGGCCATGTGATGTGCCTGCTCCCACTTTGCCTTCTGCCATGAGTAAAAACTCCTGGAGGCCTCCCCAGAAGCCAAGCACATGCTGGTGTCATGCTTGTACAGCCTGCAGAACTGTGAGCCAACTAAATCTCTTTTCTTATAATTACCCAGCCTCAGGTGTTTCTTTATAGCAATGCATGAATGGCCTAATACAATGTGCTAAATAGATCATGAAAACTAAGGTATTTTTATGGCAACTCCATAAGAATGAACCTATAAACTACAGCCAGACAATGTATATACTCAAATCCTTAAATTCTAAAATTGTACCTCAATGCTCACCTTGGGACCCACCACAGAACATGCAGGCATTGCACCTTCCACGCTGGCTCGACCAAGGCCAAATCCCCTTCAAATAAAACCTGTCATCTCATTTCAACTGCTAGATCACACCTGTGAATTTCAGGGGCATCTGAGAGCATGGCATGCAGATCTCGGACTTTGCCTCTTTGAGTATACAATCTCAGATCCTGCATGTGACTGTGGAAGGCCATTCTGTTGGCCTGTGCTCAGAGCAGAGTGTTGGCATGTGATGCGTATTAGTCAACACTAATACATGTCAGAAATGAAAGAGAAATCTCAAACCAAAGATCCATCACTAGGTTCAATAAGGTGGAAAAAGTGGTCTAGAAAGTGCGATGTCAGTTCCCACTGTGAATTGTCAAAGGAAATCTACAAAAACCGATTTCAGTACTCTTCACACATTACCAAAGCTTAAAAGGGTGTATATTATTGGGATAATAAAGAGAAAGAATTCATGATAAGGTTTTCGTTGGAGGGAACTATACTACCCACACCTTCCTAAAGGAGAAGGGGAGGAATATTTGCCTCCCACCTCAAACTTAGTGAGGGAGCTTGCTTTGTGCTACATAAAAATCTAACATGCCACCTTTGCAGCATAGGGGAAGAGATAGGCTTAACAAGAAATTAATACCGACAATGACAAGTTTAAACTCCTCATTAAACTTAAGTTGGAGAGGTGGCTGTGCTGGGGTTGGTATACACTCCCGGAGCTTGGTAGAGCAGAGGATGTGGAAGTGTCGCCTATGGATGTAATGCAAGCCATTCATGAGATAAAAAGAGCTGGCTTGGAGGTCTTTAAATCATTTCCCAAAATACAGGATAGAGCATTCAATAAAGAGAGACTGTGTGGAGTGGACTTCCCCAAACTGGAGGCTGATGGAGAACAGCAGCCTGAGAAAAGTGCATCACTCATATCATGAGACATGCATGCAAATATTCCCTGTGGTGGCCCTTGAAGATCCTTGAAAGCCATCACAAGAAGAATGAAAGGTCAGCTCCAAACACCTAAAAGGCTCAGAAAGCCGGAAGCCATCTTACAATAGTACCAATTAAAGGAGAGCTTTCTTGCTATCCTCACCCCGCCGTCCTGAATTGAGACTGTTTGGCAACTTAAAAATAACCATAAGATTTTTTATTGACTAAGAGTAATAAAAAGTTCATGAAACTGCCAGAATTTGTCCTTTGAATAAAGTTTAAAGGAAAGTAGATGAAATTAATTTTCTTATGTGATTACACCCCATGAGTCCAGCTTATTCAATATCCTGGTTACAAATCATAGAAGTAATCATAAATGCACAAAATAGCAATCTTTATCACCTTTCTTGTAGACAACATTAAGAGCCTCTTAGCTTACCACCACATTGTTCATTTCTCCCGTACTGCAGTTCTGCTTTTATCACATCACATCAGTTCCCTGCTCAGTGCTTTTCATGACCACCCACATATTCAAGGTAACATCCAAGTTCCTTAGGCTGTCTTTCAAGGCCCTTTTCAATATATTCCCAATCTTCATTTTCAGCCTTTCTCCCTTCTACTTCCCTGCCAAGCTGGTCATCTTAGTGCACTAAAAATACATTTTATATCTTCTAATTCCTGTGCCTTTGACTATGCCATTCCTCTTCCACCTGCATTTTGACTTATCAGAAGACTTCAAACAATTTCTTCATAAAGGCTTTCCTTATCACTCCAGCCACAAGTGGATTGCTATAGAGAATGACTGTGCCACTCTCAAGGTGTGACAGCAGGATTACCATGGTGCACTCCATTGAACACTCTCAACAGGATACCAATGGGTATCCCAAAGGAAAAACATTTTGTAGGGAAGTGAGTTAAGGAAATGTTGGGTTAAGCAGATTGCTCTGGTAAAACTTGAGCATCAAAAGAAATAACAGCCATAATGGGCTATAATACATTAAATACAATTAAAACCTATGAGTCCAAATAGAGTCAACAAACAAACAAATGGAAGATATGGAAAAGCTCTTCCTGGCAGAAGAATGTCATCTAATAAATATGATTGGCCATCTTGTAATCAACACAATTGATCCAGTTAAGAATCATCAATGGAAATTAGTACAGCCACTATGGAGAACAGTTTGAAGTTTCCCCCAAAAATTAAGAATGGAGCTACCATATGATCCAGCAATCCCACTGCTGGGTATATACACAAAAGAAAGGAAGTCAGTATATAAAACAGATACCTGCACTCCTATGTTTTTTGCAGCATTATTCACAACAGCCAACATTTGGAAGCAACCTAAGCGTCCGTGAACAGATGAATGGATAAAGAAAATGTGGTACACATACACACTGGAGTGCTATTTAGCCATAAAAAAGAACGAGATCCTGTCATTTGCAACAACATGGATGGATGGAGCTGGAGGTCATTACGTTAAGTGAAATAAGTCAGGTACAGAAAGACAAACTTCACATGTTCTCACTGATTTGTGGGAGCTAAAAATCAAAACAATTGAACTCATGGAGATAGAGTAGAAGGATGGTATCAGAGGCTGGAAAGGGTAGTAGGGGGTAAGAGGAAAGTAGGGATGGCTAATAGGTACAAAAAAATAGAAAGAATGAAAAAGACCTAGTGTTGGATAACACAACAGAATAACTACAGTCAATAATAATTTAACTGTACATTTAAAAATAACTAAAAAAGTATAATTAGATCATTTGTAACACAAAGGATAAATGCTTGAGGAGATGAATACCACATTTTCTATCATGTAATTATTACACATTGCATGCCTATATCAAAGTATCTCATGTACCCCATAAATATGTAGATCTACTATGTACCCCCAAAAATTAAAAATTAAAGGTCTTTCCATCTCCCCTTCTTCTCTTTTCTTCTGGTTTTTATGTAAATGTTGCAATGAGCCATCAGTGACTATGAGATCAAGTGTAATACAGAACTCCTAAAACTCAACAACTATAAAACCCAATTCAAAAATGGGCAAAGGACTTGAATAGACATTTCTCCAAAGATCTACAAATGGCCAGCAAATAAATGAAAAGATGCTGAACATCACTAATCAGAACTATAATGAGATTTCACCTCATACCCATTAGGATAGCTATGATCAACGAACAAACAAATAAACAGAAAATAACTGTTTGCAAGGACGTGGAGAAACTGGAACACCTGTCCACTGTTGATGGGAATGCAAAATGATACAGCCACTGTGGAAAAATAAGTAGGACAGTTCCACAAAAAAGTAAAAATAGAACCAGCATATGATCCAGCAATTCCACTTCTGGATTTATACCCAAAATAATTGAAGTCAGGGTCTCAGATATTTATACACCTGAGTTCATGACAACGTTATTCACAGTAGCCAAACTGTGAAAGCAACCAAAATGTCCATCAATAGATGAATGGATAAGCAAAATGTGATACATCCATACAATGGAATATTATTCAACCTGAGAAAGGAAGGAATTTTTGACATATGCTACAACATAGGTGAACATTATGCTAAATGAAATAAGCCAGTCACAAAAAGACATACTGTATGATTCCCCTTAAGTGAGGTAGTTTAGTCAAATTCATAGAGACAGAAAAAATGATGGTTTCCAGGGACTGGGAGAAAGGTAGAATAGGGAGTTATTATTTAGTAAATTTATAGAGTTTGTCTTAAAAGATGAAAGAAGTTATGGAGGTGGACGGTGATGATGGTTGCCCAATATTATGAATGTATGTAATACCACTGAACTGTACACATAAAAATGATTAAGATGGTAAATTTTATGTATTTTACCACAATAAAAATTATTTAAAAAAAGAATATCAATGGATACTCAAATTAGTGGGTGAAAATTTGATGAACAAGAATTTGTATCATTCCAAATTATCTTCTCACATAGCCTCTATTAATTATAAAGGTAAAGAAAAGTTACCTTACAGTGAAGAAACGTGGTGGATAACACCTTAGCCAAGTCACCAAAGTTCGCATCACAAAAAAGACCCAAAAACTGACGTTAAAAAAACAAACATAATGACAGAATGCAGTGAGAAAAACACATTACTTCTGTGGTATTCCTGCCCCCCAAATGCAGACTCTGAATCTAATTACAAGAAAGCATAATACAATTCAATGTGAGGAACATTCTAAAAAAAAACTGGCCTGTTCTTTTCAGAAACACCAATGTCATGAAAGGAAAGCTGAGGAGCTGTTCTAGATTAGAGGAGACTAAAGACATGGCAACCAACTGCAAGGCGTAATCTTGGATTCCGGGCTGGGGTTGGGGAGTTATAAATGCCAGTATTGGGAAAATTGGAATACATTTGCATAAAGTTTATAGTATTACACCAAAGCTAAGTTTCTTGATTTCTATAAATGGACTACAGTTTTGTAAGAATATATTTATTCTGGCCAGGCGCGGTGGCTCACGCCTGTAATACCAGCACTTTGGGAGGCCGAGGTGGGTGGATCACAGGTCAGGAGTTCAACATCAGCCTGGCCAAGATGGTAGAACCCCAACTCTACTAAAAATACAAAAACTTAGCCAGGCACGGTGGTGGGCGCCTGTAATCCCAGCTACTCAGGAGGCTGAGGCAGACAATTGCTTGAACCCAGGCGGCAAGGTTGCAGTGAGCCGAGATCGCGCCACTGCACTCCAGCCTGGGCGACACAGTGAAACCCTGTCTCAGGAAAAAAAAAAAAAAAAAGAATATATTTATTCTTAGGATAAGAGCTAAAGGAACATGATGTCTGAAACTTACTGTCAAAAGGTTCAGAAATCTATCTTATACTATATATTCATTTATATTAATTATGTACATTAATATATAGAATTATTTACGTACTTATAATACATACATGTGTATCTGTGTGTGTGTCCAGAGTGAGAAAGAGAGAATAATAAAGCAAATGTGGCAAAACATTAACAGTTGGTAAAGTACATAAAGGGTATTTAGTATTTCCTTGTATTCTTCTTGCAGTTTTTCTTTAAATATAAAATAATTGTAAAATACAAAGTTAGAGAAGTAATTTATTTACTACAGGATTTCTCAAAGTTTTAAAAATTCATCCACTTATTCCATCCACACTAGTTGGACACCTACTGTATACCATGCACTGTGCTAAGTGGTTTAAGAATATCCAAGAAGAGCATCTCATGCTGCTAGTTTTCTGTGAAATACATTTCAGAAGGTATTACTTTGTCTAATTATAATCCATCTCTCTAACTAGTATATGGGCTCCAGAATGGCAAATGCCTGATCTTGGAGATCTTATTCCCCCAGTGCATATCCTGTTGTCTGAGGCCTCAGAAGGAGCTTGATAAATGTTGACTATATGGGGAGTGAGCAAGTGAATGATGAGTAAGTGAGTGAGTGAGTGAGTGAGTGAGTGAAAGTCACCGTGACGATCTCTGTAGCTGACACTCACTTCTTGTGGGGATCACTCCTGGACACCTTTGGCTGCACCCAACCTGCCAGATCCTCCCAGATTCTTCCAGGTGCCACAGTCTCAGCTAGACAGAGTGACTACTCAGAAAAGCTAGAATGCTGCCTTGCAAAAAGGCTGTCATTACAATAAAAATAAAATACTGGACAGCTCTTTCCCTTTGACTCTGACTCTAGAACAAAAGAAGATGTGAATGAAAACAATAGTCATCAAGGCTCATCACCACCACAGAAGGCCCTAGAGGTATTCGACTTCTTGCATCGAACACCTTCTGCAGGACCCCATTTAGTGAAGCCAGAGTCCTGGACAGTGGTACAAAACAAGGAGAGGAGTAGGCTCACATTTAAAAACCAAACACTGCATGTTCTCACTCATAGGTAGGAATTGAACAATGAGAACACTTGGACACAGGAAGGGGAACATCACACACCGGGGCCTGTCGTGGGGTGGGGGGAGAGGGGAGGGATAGCATTAGGAGATATACCTAATGTAAATGACGAGTTAATGGGTGCAGCAAACCAACATGGCACATGTGTACATATGTAACAAGCCTGCACGTTGTCCACATGTACCCTAGAACTTAAAGTATAATAATAAAAAAAAAGAGTCACTAAGTTCTTACAGCTTCTTTGGTAACTACTTTGCACAATTCCTGTAACAAAAGGTCTAGAATATCTTCTGAATAAAAATGAGGACAACTTTCTCACAGCTGCCATTGTTTACCCAGGAATTCCCTTGCTTGGTCTTGTTTTTACAGCATTGCTTTCACATAATTACTTTCTGCATTGCCCCTCTACCTTTCTTGCAGTTTCTGAAGATGCTACATCATTATAAATTACAAACATGGATATTCATCACAGAAACTGGCAGTAGTAGAAGCTTCTAGAAATAATAGGATTTGATGTGATGGTACCATCGAAAAATTTAAAATTACTCTCCTAAAGTGAAAGTAAAATGCAAGGGAAAATAATTTTCCCCAAGCCAGATTTACCTTGAAATTCTTCTTTCTAGATTTAGTGCATAACAGCAAGCCATCCCTGAAGAAGAGCAGAAACTTATACTTTTACAGGTTAACCAATGGTTTGGTTTAATAAATAATAAAACCTCAGAGTAAGACATGACCTTGGACGTCATTGAATCTAGCTGTTTACCCAATGTAAAAATTACTAATAAAAATTCCAGAGATGGCTTTGTGTAAGTAGCTCTCCTAGAAAGCCAATTGCACAATGGTTTCCTAGATTTCTACAATGTAATTGCTGAAGGAAAGAAGTTGTTTGAAATGCTGGATGCAAAATCTTACACTTGAAAGCTTTGCCCTACTTCTTGGGTTGGTACCAGGTGCCAACCCTGAAAAGGATGCAGCTCAGAGAGGAAACTCTGAACCCAGAAGAACATGGCTGTCCCCATTCCCCAGCACTTCCCAAAGGCACCACTCAAAGAGAGTCCATCAATCTTTGGAGCACTGACGTTGAAACAGTTCATGAAATTTCTTTTACAGTCACCCAAACACATCCTGGAAATTTAAGACCTAGGAGTCCAGTGAAGCACATTATTGTTCTTGAAAATTATACCAAAAGTCACTCAAAATTACATCAAAAGTTTCTCAACTCAATGCAAAAATGCCAATATAGAAAGACAAATAAAATTGCCCTTCTTTGGGGGACACTTTGGGCACATTCATCACGCACAGTCCACACAGTAAGTTACAATGTGCAACTATGGGACTCTTTTACTATCCTTTTCATTCCTAAGTGGGAAGTTGAACAGGTATGAGCATCTCAGCAGTGTTGTAGGAGGGCAAATGGAGGCTAGTGACCATGTAATATGCTTGCCCCCTCTCTCTCTGCACCACATTAAAATTTGCAAAGATTCTCACTCTTGTCCAAGGGCTGGTACCCATGTCACCTTCCCTAAGTCCCTGTGTACCAATAAGGTAAATTCAAGTAGGTAACAGATTTGCAGCTTACATGTAGAACTCACTGTGTGTGGGTGGGGAGTGGGGGGAATGCAGGAGATGCCCTTTATGAAAAAAAAATTGTGGTTTGCCACAAGGTGTCAGTATATGTCACCTCACAGTGAATCAGGACTGGCTGTTAAACCTATATATATAATATATTAGAATCAAAGGCTGCGTACATCTTATATCCTGATAAAAGCAGGAAAACACATTCCTGTTCCTTCTCTCTGTAAAGAGAGCAACGTAAATTTTAGGATATATTTGATTAAAGACAGAAATAGAAGTGTGGTGATGACCTCAAATCTCACCTAGAACTCAACTCCCCTTTCTCATTCTGTGCCAATCTCCACTACTGCAGAGAGTTGGCAGCTAGCTCACAGATGCCTCTCTGCTTGCCTCTCTCTCCCTCATTCTTTGGCCTCTGAGTATCTTGTCTGTGCTCTAGCCCCGAGAAGGTCTTCTTCCCTAATGTTACCAAAATGCAGCGACACCTTTAAAGCGAGAGAGAGAAAGACAGAACAAGTAAGAGGGGACAGGAAAGACAGAGAACAAGATATGGCTCTGCCAGAGGACACATTTCCCCTCCCAGGGAGAAGGGACACAAAACCAAAGGTCAGCTCCTACTTACCTTTCTGCCATTCACAAAGAAAACCAATTTGTCTGCTGTCATTGTCACAGGTTGGGGTCCCCGAACTCCAGGTACCTCACTCCTAAGAGACACTGGCAGGTAGTTATCACTGCTCTGTGACCTGAAAGTTACGCCTCCCAATAAAATGAAATAAGGTCCACCAATGGGAGGGAACCAGCTCAGAGCTTCAGGGCATGAAGAGTTCTTGGCAAAAGCCACTGGTTTACATAATCAAGGAAGTGCAAACAATCACACACAGCAAATTACAATCTCCACACCTGTGTCAAAGAGCACAGGAAACTACATCCAGATATCAGTAAGGTTGTTGACTTGGCACTAGGCGACTGTGGGTCTTGGGCGCTGCTCTTATGAAACCTGCTTCGTCCTCCCACTTGCTGCAAGACAGAGAAGGGGAAGACAGAGGAGGGAAAGGACTATTCTCAGAGTCACTGCTAATAGAGCTGATTCACACCCTCTGTGTCTACATTTGTCATTTTACCATTCAGGTTTACAGCAACACAGACTGACTGCATGAATGCAAGAGTCATTCTTTCACAGCCTGGTGGAGCAGAGAGGTCACAGGACATGGAGCCCCATGAACCTGACTCAAATCCTGGCATTTGACCTCAGCATGTTACTTACTACCTTCAGAACTCAGTTGCTTTCATCCTGTACAGGATCATAGAATGATATCAAGAATAGAAGAATGAGGGACAAATGACATTTTGGGAGTGCCTTGTAAATTTGCAAAGAACCAAAACATGTATCACTGTTGAAAAGACATCTTCAACATCTCAACAAATAAAATCCTAATAGCAAACTATTTTTGAGATTTGTCTTTTATTTGTTTCTCTCAGGAAAATATCCTTGACAAGTTGTCAGAGTAACTCATAAAAGTATTTCAAAACACCAAATAAATTAAAATGCTCATACCACATAGTCATAGGCTACAGTAACACATAGCTGAAAACCTTTCCCCATCCAATATCCATTAACTCTCAGTGGAAACACAGATGTGCACGTCCACTGGAGCAGCACTAAAGGGCTCTCTGCAGTCCAGCACCCTCCCAACTGCCCCTACCAGTTCTTTAGTTCAACACACACACACACGCAAAAAAAAAAAAAAAAAAAAAAAAAAAAACACACAGAGACCAGCATTCACTCTGGTCTTCTTCTGTCCTGTAATGACCCATACAGTGGCTCAGCCAGCCTTCCTTAAGTAAGACACCTCCCCTACAACCCTAGCAGGCTACCTGAGGGGGAAGAAAGGAGTATTAGGCAGATGTACTTGATATAGCAACAGCTTAGAGAAACTGAAGACTGACAGGACAACCACACAATCAACACAATGCCCCCTCTCACCACAGCCTTAATTTAACCAGGAGATGAAACTTTACTTGTTGGTTGACCAAATATCCCAGTTTGCCCTGGACTATCCTAGTTTTAGCCTTGAATCCCTGACAAATGCCTCAGAGATCCTAGTAAATCCTTCAGTCCAGGGCAAACTGGGATGGTTGGTCACTATAAAACTGGTTGTTGGCTGGGCATGGAGGCTCACACCTATAATCCCAGCACTTTCGGAGGCCAAGGTGGGTGGATCACCTGAGGTCAGGAATTCATGACCAGCCTGGCCAACATGGTAAAACCTCATCTCTACTAAAAATACAGAAATTATCTGGGAGCAGTGGGCCACCTGTAATCCCAGCTACTCTGGAGACTGAGGCAGGAGAATCACTTGAACCTAGGAGGCGGAGGTTGCAGTGAGCTGAAATCATGCCACTGCACTCCAGCCTGGGCGACAGAGTGAGACTCCATCTCAAAAACAAAACCGAAACCAAAACCGGTTGTTAAATCTGAGAGATTCCCTACCCCAGAAGCCACTTGGCAATGTCTGGGGATATATTTTATTGTCACAACTGGGGAGGGATGCTACTGGCATTTAATGGATGGAGGCCAGTAATGCCACTAAACATCCTACAAACCACAAGACAGTCCCACCCCAATAAAATGAACAACAATGAATGTCAATAGAGCCAAGCTGGAGAAATTCTGCCCTGAAAGAAAGAAGGAAGGAGCTGGGGAGAGAGAGAGACTGAGCCTAGGGCATGTTTTGTAATTAGTCAATTCTTCCAAACCCTCACACCTCTTTGATTGAGAGGCTTTTCCTCCATGCACTAATCTACCCAATTTAACAAGCCCTCCCCTTCCTCCTAGGCATTCCCCAGCCAATGCTCCAGGAAAAGCTAAAGGGACGGGCTGAGGAAAGAGCTCAGGCTTTGGAGTTCCATAGGCTGGCTTGAATGTTAGCTCCACCACTTCTGTGTGCCGCCTTTGGCAAAAATCTCTCTCTTGGCATCAGTATTCTCATTTACAAAACGGAGGTGGCCATAATTGCTTGGTAAGGACCAACTCTTAGCTGAATGAAATAAAACATAGATTAAATCTGTTGTCCACAGGAGAAACTAATGTTGGTGTGCTTCTCCCCACTCAGCAAATCTTCAACCCCTCTCTTAACTAGAGGTGAAATTCCTCTCTATTACTATGGAGCATTGAAAGATAAAAGTGAAATAAATTTTCAATAAGGGTTTGTGTTGTCATGCAGAATTTTCAGCTCTGTAATAACTAGTTGAAACCCCAAATACTGACATTTGACAAAAACTTGAATTAGTATGATTACTTATTATTTAGCAAAGTATTTGCCACCATTTTCTTTCTCTGTGACTTTATTTCTTTAATTAACATTAAAATCATACACATTTATCATGTATAATATGATGTTTTTAAATATGTATACATTGTTAAATAGCTCCATTGAGCTGAATAACATACATGTTACCTCACATATTTATCATTTCTTCTGGTGAATACACTTAAATTGTCGTAGAGATTTTCAAAATATACATCGTTATTAAGTTACAGTGACCATGTTGCACAACAGATCTCTTGAATTTATTCCTTCTATCTGACTGAAATTCTGTATTATTTGACAAGCCTAGCTCTATCGCCCAGGCTAGAATGTAGTGGCGTGATCTCAGCTCACTGCAACCTCCAACTCCCTGGTTCAAGTAATTCTCCTGCCTCAGCCCCCCGAGTAGCTGGGATTACAGGCATGTGCCACCCTCATGTTTGGTTCCAAAATTCTCTAGACCAGTTAAATGGGGCCTCTGTCTGTTTATAACAAAGGCATGGAGAGGCTGATGAAATTTTTCCTAGGAAGAAGTACTCTCTTTTTCTCATTTGTCTTGAACAAGTTCACAATCTTTGCTCACAGACCCACCATTGAAGCACTCCCATTTAGCCCCAGGTAATTTTTGTATTTTTAGTAGAGACGGGGTTTCACCATGTTGGCCAGGTTGGTCATGAACTCCTGACCTCAGGTGATCTGCCCACCTTGGCCTCCCAAAGTGCTGGGATTAGACCTATATTTAGGTGTCTCAATGTTGGGTGCATATATATTTACAATTGTCATATTCTCTTGAGAAATTGAGCCCCTTTTCACTATATAATAATTTTTTGCCTCATTGTACAGTTTTTGACTTAAAGTTTATTTTATCTGATATATGTATAGCCAACCTGCTCTTTTTTGGTTTTCATTTTCATGGATATTTTTTCCCATCCCTTCGCTTGCAGTCTATGTGTGTCCTAAATGTGAGATGAGTCTCTTGTATGCAGCTTATAGTTGGGTCTTGTTTTATTTATTTATTTTTCCATTCAGCCACTCTATGTCCTTTGATTAAAAAATTTAATCTATTTACTTTTAAGGTAATTATTAATAGGTAAGGACTTACTACTGCCATTTTATTGTTTTCTGGTTGTTTTATAGATCTTTTGTTGCTTTTGGCCTATTTTGTTTTCTTACTTTGTGATTAAGTGATTTTCTCTAGTGTTATGCTGTGATTGCTTACTTTTTATCTTATGTGTATCTACTGTAGGTTTTTCCCTTATGGTTACCACGAAGCTTACATAAAACCTCTTACAGTTATAACAGGCTATTTAAAGCTGATAACAACCTAACTTTCATTGCATAAAAAACCCTAAACTTTTGCTCCATTCTCCCTCACATTTTGTTTTTGAAGCTGCAATTTACATCTTTTTATATTGTGTATCTCTTAACAAATTATTGTAGTCATTATTTTTAATAGTTTTTTCTCTTAACCTTCATACTAAATATATAAGCAATTTACACACCACCATTACAGAATTAGAGTGTTCTGAATTTGACTGTGTATTTACTTTTACCACTGAGTTTTACACTTTCATATGTTTTTGTATTACTAATTAGTGTTCTTTTCTTTCAGCTTGAAGAACTTCCTTTAGCATTTCTTGTAAGACAAGCTTAGCGATGTAAACATTCTTTCCAGTTTTTGTCTGGGAAAGTCTTTATCTCTCCTTCTTCATCGCTCCTTCATTTCTCCTTCATTTCAGCTTTTGAGGTACAATAATTTTGGTTGGCAGAGTTTTTTCTTCAGCATCCTGAATATATCATCCCACTATCCCTGGCCTGTAAGTCTCTGCTGATAAATCTATTGCTAATTTCATTGGAACTCTCTGATATGTTATTTGCTTCTTTTTTCTTGCTACTTTCAGGATCCTCTCTTTGGTTTTTAATGGTTGGATTATAATGTGTCTTGGTATAGTTTTGTTTAATTGAACCTTATTGGAGACATTTGACCCTCTTTACCTGTGTATTTATATCTTTCCCCATATTTGTAAAGTTTTCTGCTATTATTTCTTTAAATAAGCTTTATACCTCCATTGTCTCTCTCTTCTCCATCTTGAGCTTTTATGACTCAAAATTTGTACTTTTGAGGTTGTCCCATAAGACCCATAAGCTTTTTTAAAATTCCTTTTTATCATTTTTTTTCTCCTTTGGCTGTATGTTTTCAAATAACCTGTCTTCTAGTTCACAGATTCTTTCTTCTGCTTAATCAGTATTGCTTTTGATGCTATCTATTGCATTTTTATTTCATTCATTGTATTTTTCAGCTCTATAATTTCTGTCTTTTTAAATAATTTCAATATCACTGTTAAATTTCCCATTTTGGTTGTGCATTGTGTTTCCTGATTTCTTTGAATTTCTTTATATTTTCTTGAAGTTGGCTGAACTTCCTTAAAACAATTATTTTGAAATCCTTGTCAAGCAGTTTTTATATCTCTATTTCCTTGGGGTCAGCTACTGGGAGATTATTCTTTTGGTGGTGTTCTATCAACTTGCTTTTTCATGTTTCTTTCTGCCTTCTGTTGATATCTGAGCATTTAAAGAAGTAGTGACTTATTCCAGTATTTGCAAACTGGCTTTGTCTGGGAAAGTTTTTCACCAGTCAGCCCGTCCAGAGATTTGGGGCAGGTTGTCTGGTATAATCTGAGAGTGGGCTTTCTGCTGGAGCCTTCAGGAAGACTGGCCTGATGCCTAGGTCAGCAGGTGAGTGGGCCTGGGGTCAGGATCCACTGGGGTAGACCTATTGATTGAATCCAAGGGCAGTAGGCCTGGAGCCTGAGTTGGTGAGGGCAAGCCTGGAGCCTATTTCCACTGATGCTTGATGTCTGGGTCTGTAGGCATTGACCTGGTGCTGGGATAAGTTTTGAACCTGAATGTGCAGGGGCTGGCTTAGGGTGCTAGGGTGGAACCTGAAGCTGTGGGGTCACACTTGGCACCAGAGTGGGCTTGGAGGTTTAATCCCCAAGTGGATTGGAGTCTGGGCCCACGGACACCTGCCTGGCTCTGGGTTTTACTCTAGTGGACCCAGTGTTGGGTCCAAGGCAAAGTTTAGTGCTCAATTCCCTGTCCCTGGATATCTCCTTGGAGATCTTGGAGAGATATCCAAGTGAAGGATATCTCTCTCCACTGTGCTGCCTAGGGTTGGGGAAGTGGTAACACAGATAATGTAAAACTATTCTTCCTACCCTCTTCAATGCATCTTTTCTCATTTCTATGCTGTACCCAGGTGCTATAATCTCTCAGCTGGTATTCTTAGCTCTTGTGAAGGCATTTTTTTTTGCATAGATATTTGTTTAAATTGATGTTTCTGCAAAAGGATGAGTGCTGAAAAATCTTATTCCACCATCTTGCTGACATCAGTCTCTTCTTTGGTACTTTTCAAAATAGTATAAATGAAGGGAAAAAAATCTAAAGTCAGAACTTTTTCCATACTGAATATCTACTGTATATGCTTTTCACATTAGGATGAATTCTGAAATTTTGGCTGAAGTAATGGAATTTTACCACCTGGTAATAGACCAACTGTGATGTACATTTTATTACATTAACTTACCTTATTCTCCTAAGAGATATCTTGGCTTTTAATATACACTGCATTGGCATGTGAGGCTTTAAAATTCATAGAAAATCCAGATAAGCCCTGAGGCCTTCTGGACACAGACCTCTTCCCAGTGGGAGCCACACTTTCAGGAAATCATAAAAGATAAGAAAAGTAAAAATGCTGCCAAGAGTCATAACTTATTTTTTGAAGAGTGAGCTCCCTCAGGGCCAAGTACTTCCTGGAAGAAGATGATTCAAGAAAGACTATGGAGTGTTTCCTGAAAGGCTGGTCAGAGCTAGACCAGCATCTGTGGAGACTTTAGTGCTTTTGAATTCATGCCCTGGCCTTCTGTGCCCTGGCTGTGTCTCTAGCTCTCTTTAGAAGTCACTGCTGGCCTTTATCCTGCCTCTGCAGCAGCTTCTTCCCAGTCTGCTCCGTCCTTTTTCTTTTCAACCAGATGTACATTCTTGTCTGTAACCTAAGGGCATTCTTGTTCATTTTCTTTATTTACAACAAAGTTTACTTTAAAAGAAAGAAAATGTTTTTTCAATATATTCCATTGTTCAGATTTTTTTAACCAAGACTGGTTTCACTCCTACATATGCTCCACTCTGGATGAAAGATTTTTGCCATATTCTCAGAGCATTACTACTCAACACCCAATACTCCTTTGTTCTCTCAGACATCTATATTATTAAGTAATCCTAATAATAGTTCTTGACTATGAATAACATTTCTTTCACACATCTTGATTTCATTTGATCCTTATAATAGCCCTGTGAGGTAAGTAAGGAAGTTATTTTTATCTTCCTTTTTCAGACAAAAGCAAGTGAGAGTCAGAGAGGTTGACTTGCCAACTGTCGCACGACAAGCAAATGCCAGTTTCTACATCCGTCACCCATTTCCCAGCAGAAAAGTTATCTCTCTGATGGTTCTTCACTAGTAAAACCAGGATTGTTAGCATAGCATTTATGGCCCTTCTTAGTCTGGCTGAAATCCAGCTTTCTGGTTGGTAAAGTGTCTTTCTCTCTTGCCTAGATAGTGGGCCCCTGAGATTAGGAGCAGAACAGTGTTTACCACTGTTTCACTGGTGCCTAGCATAGAGCCAGATCTATAGAAGCATCAAAAAATGTTTGTTGAATTGTGTCCACAGTGCAAGGGATGAGTTATGTTTTCACAAATATCTAAGCGTCTGCCTTTTACTAAACACAGAAGTTTCTTCCGTCATTTCATAGATTCTCAGCATCATTTAACTTCGTTTACCAGTTCCATTCTAACTAAACTTTTGTTAGTTAACCAGCTAGTATTCCTTAAGATAAAGGTCACATTACTTCATTACTATAGAGGAAATCAATCAATCAAGCAAATACACATCTGGGAGAATCCTCTTAGGAAGATGAGATTATAAAAAAAAATGGACACAGTCAAAACTAAAAGCATGTAAACTTCAGCCTGGGTCTTCACTGCAAATACACAAAGGCCCAGGGAATAGAAAAGGCCCTCGAAGCAAATGTAAACCCACTTCAATCTGTCTGCATCATCCTTATGTTTTTTATAATGTATTTTTCACTCAATAAAGTCTGTCACCACAGAGTCACGTGTGGCAACGACCATGTGGGTTTGGTGGCTAGCTGGACAAAGTAAAGTTTCTCTTTCCACTCTGAGCTGCTCTTGCACAATTCAGGAAAGTAAGTCCTTACCTCTTCACTTATTCAAGGATCAACTCACATGTGATCTGTAGACAATATAGACCAATGAGTAGCCACTGGAGAAAATTATTATTATGACTATTTGCACCCTTAATTCCTTCCCCTGATTTATTTTTACTATTATCATCTGAAATGATACATAGTGCACTCACTTATATGTTTAATGTCTGTCTTCCTGCACCCAGCAGAACGTAAATGTGGCAGGAATGTCAATCTTCCCACCAAATATTCATGCTCTCCTTCTCTAATGAAGAGTTTCTGCTGGGAAGTCACTATCCAGCCAGGAGCTACATTTTGCAGCTCCCTTATATGTGGCTAAAGCCACATGATTGAATATTGATGAATGTAATATGGGTAAAACTGATGTGTACAATGCCCAGGCTCCCATTCTGTCTTTTCTACTGTCTGACAACTGATGTCAATGACCAGGGTGACGTTGGAAGTCACAAATTGAAGACAGCAGAGCTTTCAATAAACTCAAGTGCTTAAATAAATATAATGAGCTGAACATTTCCCCCTACCCTTGTTGCTTATTGACTTTACAGGAACAAAAAATAAATTTCTATTGTGCTTGCTCACTGAGATTTCTGGGTTTATCTATTATTGCCTCTAGTATTACATTCACTAATACAATAAATTCCACAAAGGCAGAGATATTATCTGTTTTATTCAATGCTAAACTCTGCCTGGACATGGTTGGCATACTATTATATTCAAGAAGTATTTGTTGAATAACAAATGAATGAATGAAAACGATATCAGAACCAGGTTTTAGTTAAACGCAAAGGAGCATAGCTCAAATGTCTGGCTTGGCCCTCATGCAAAGCTGTGTGTGCAAATGGTATCACTGGGGTTCATAGGCTCCTCAGGAGAACTTATTTTCTTTTCTTTTCTTTTTTTATAAAGTGTTTCTTTTATTTCTGTTTCTTATTTTCAAGCCATCCCGTTCATGTTGCAAAGGCAGTGTAGTGGAAAGATCACCCAACTAGGAGACTGGAGACCTTCATTTGAATCTTGATCCTGACACTAACTTGCTGGATGACTTTGAACTAGCTACTTAACTATTCAGGGTTTCCTCCTACCTGATGTTGGAGAGTTGAACTTGATGCTGTCTAGAAAGTCCCTCCTAGGTCAAATATTTGGTAGTTCATCTGAGTCTTTTCTGTCTTGTGGCTCTAATCCACACCTGAGTGGAACCATTCATTTGATCACTTCCCTTTTTCATCCATTCATACCACAAACAGGTGTTAGGTCCTTAGGAGAACTTATTTTCATCCCCAGGTCTTCAACCTTAAGTGTCCCCATTCCCATACTATGTTTTAAGGATGGATTCCAGAGCAACTTCTACACTAGGCAATATTTACACATCCATTTACTGATCAACCATAACAAGGCTCCGTCATATGACATATGTCAGGCACTATGCTGGGCACTGAGTAAACTCTAGGGACAAAGAGGCTTAAAGTGTATCCTTACTGTATCTTAGAAATAAACCATGAGCCAACATTATAAAAACTGAACCCAAGCTCTTTACTTACCCTCCTAAACTTCACCACTCCCCAGAGCAAGGATGCTAGTATGATTTAGATAATTGTCCCACCCAAATCTCATGTTGAAATGTAATCTTCGGTGTTGAAGGTGGAGCCTGGTGAGAGGTGTTTAGGTCATGGGGGCAGATCTCTCACGGCTTGGTGCTGTCTTCATGATAGCGAGTGAGTTATGAGATCCAGCTTTTTAAAAGTGTGTGGAGACTCCCTCTCTCTCTGTTGCTCCCACTCTCACCATGTGTCGTGCCTGCTCCCCTTAGCCTTCTGCTATGATTAAAAGCTTCCTGAGGCCTCTCTAGAAGCTGAGCACATGCTGTCACCATGCTTCCTGCAGAGCTGAAACATAAGCCAATTAAGCCTCTTTTCTTTATCAATTACCCAGTCTCAGGTATTTCTTTGTAGCGATGCAAGAATGGCCTAACACAGATGCAAAATGCAGGCTGATATATTGATATATTTGAAATAAGTGTAATATGAAAATTTGAGCACTTCCTCCAGATCGCTTGGGCCAACTTCCTAGTTTTATTACAATGGACTCTAAGAAGTCAATTCAGAGCACAAAAGGCTACAGGAAGATCACCTGCTGTTCCTGTTCTAAATTTGTTCTTGTACTGGAACTCTCCACAGGAACTCAGTATCGTTAATGCTGTTATTTTCTTTGTTTTACTTTTAAAAAGAAAAGAACCTCTTTTCTCCTGCAAAAAGAAGTCCATTAAACTACTGTTTGCATCCCTAGGCATATAACCCCCAAAAGGAGCATATTCCCCAAAGCAATCAGGGACAGAGGGCAAGCTGACAACCTCAGATCTGTTCTCTAGAGTAAGTTTAGTTTTCCCAACACTCAAGGAGAGGAAATGGAAACTGGACTGACTTTCTCCATAGAGTCTTCCCTACTGCAGGAATCACTTACTGGTGGTTTGATCCATGCCTGGCCAATATTGTCTTCTACTGATGGGACATTTCCTTCCACTCTTTTTCACACTTTTGGAAAATGTCTGCCCCTTTCTCCAGAGCTTTGAAAGTAAGTTGATGTTTGGCATTTATGGGTTAATATTTGAGATTTTGGCTATTTGTGAGTAATTCTGAAAGTTCATGACATAATATTTAGCATTTTCTGAAACATAAATTTTATCTCATGAGCTACAATAACACAGTTGCCTCTCAGCACACTGAGCAAGCCTTGTTGAGAATTTTAAGGGGATTTCTTGTATCATTAGCTTTATTTTGGTGCATTTTATGAGGATTGGGTAAATTAAGACATTCATATCTCTTTATTGATCTAGTAAGTAGCTTAAAGCTCTTTTAGGAGACTACAAGTTCTTGCTTTCAATGCTTCCCCAGAAGGCCTCCAGCCTGCTGGCCAAGGCAAAATCACCTCCATAGTGAGAGACAGTTTGAGGAGGACAAAAGTTTATTAAGAGTGTAATATGTGCCAGGCATTCCATATTTATCTCATTTACTTTTCAAAAAATCCCTATGAGAGAGATACATTTTTTAATAAATAAAGAAGCTGGCTGGACTCAGAGAAGTTGTCACAAAAAGTCACATGGCTGGTAAGGTATAATCAAGACTCGAACCCAAGCCCCTGTGATTCTAGAATCTTCTGACAGCAATAGAGAGCAGAGGCTGGGCTTTCCTAGCTGGACACCATCCAGGATGGCCCCTTTACACTGTATAGGCGTGGGGGGCAGAGGAAAAACCATCTCATTGAGTCTCACTAACGCAGGGTTGGCAGCAGCAGTGAGAAAGTTTGGCCTTAGAAGAATCAGAGTGAGGAGAGTAGAAGATGAAACAGCGTGTAGTGTGACACAGCAGGCTCCAAGGCTTTCAGGCCTGTCTTAAAAAAACTCATGGACGTGGTTTGTTTCTCTGTTTTTAATGTTACAATCACAATAAAGTGCTTTGAGGAAGGAAATCGAACAAGAATCTTGTGAAATTCTGCAAACCCAAACTAAAATGCAGAGTGTAAAAATGTCACAGGGAAAGAAAAGAACCAGACGGTGGGAAATCGATAGAATCTTAGCTGTCATTCATTTGATAGTTTGGCTCGGGGAGACCTAGAGAAGGGCCCCAGGTTCCAGGTCCACTCTGCCAGAAGCAGCAGATGGAACGGAACTTGTTAGCCACTGCCAACTCCCCCCGGGTCCCTGAGCCCAGGATATGCAGAGAAGGGTGAAGGCGCGGCACTCTTGCAGGGTCTGCCCAGTGCTTGGATTTGCTCCTCATTCTCTCAGGAGGACCAGGGGCTTCTGGAAATCAGTGGTCCCTGGTGGCTTGGAAGCTCCCTGAAACATGGAAGGAAGATGGATCTCAATGGGGAAGGTTTTGACCCTCCATATGTCACGTCTGTGGATCTGAGCAGAGGAATCGATAGACTTAGCACAATAGCAGAAGAGAGGGAAGGCAGAAGACCTGAAGGAAGAGCAGCAGAGGAGGGGCAGGCATAAAGAATGGTAAACATAGAATGGCAACCATAGTCACCTCAGGGATCAGCTCATGGCCTCCTGGTCAAGCTTCCTCTCCCTGTGATTCTTGGCTGTCTTCCATCTGCAGCTAAGTAGCCAGACCAGAATAGTCAATAATTCTAGTGATCTGGCAACTATAATTTTCTAGTCTTGATGAGTATCGGTATTGTCACTGTATTAAACTTCCCCTATTCGTCATCTCCATCTGATCATCATTATTATTCTAAGAATCCCATGTGGAAGTAGGAACTGGGGTGACAAGAATCTGGGTGCTGGCTGCCCCTTGAATGCATCCCATGGCCCCATAGCCATGACTGCGGTGCCAGTGAAGCAGCAGTTCCCAGGAAATACATGGATTGCCTTGCCTGGGGCTGAATGGGAGTGCTTCAATGGTGGGTCTGTAAGCAAAGATTGTGAACTTGTTCAGGACAAATGAGAAAAAGAGAGTACTTCTTCCTAGGAAAAATTTCATCAGCCTCTCCATGCCTTTGTTATAAACAGACAGAGGCCCCATTTAACTGGTCTAGAGAATTTTGGAACCAAACATGAGGTTGTGATGAAACCATGGAAAGAGTCCCAGTCTAGGAAAAGAGAGACTCAGGTGAAAGCCAAGGATTTGCTCCTCTCTCTGTCACTTTTGGCAAGCCCCTTTCCCATCTATAAAACTTCAAGGACCCTTCCAGCTCTAACATTTATGGATATTATGACATAATACCTGTGTGTGTGTGTGTGTGTGTGTGTGTGTGTGTGTGTGTGTGTGTGTGTGCATGTGTGGTGTGTTTGCATCCTCCTTTCTGGTGGCCTTTTTATTCACACCATCTGATCCTCACCCATTTCTGAGCAAGTTGGGTCCATGCTACAGGATATTCCCACTTGTCCAGCATTGGAATAGCTGGAATGCTAAGGAAAAGAGTATAATACCAGATTATGAAAGTTCTGCAGTCCATTTTGTGGTTTTTTATTTGTTTTTTTTTTGAGATGGAGTCTTGCTGTGTTGCCCAGGCTGAAGTGCAGTGGTGCAATCTTGGCTCACTGCAACCTCTACCTCCTGAGTTCAAGCGTTTATCCTACCTCAGCCTCCCGAGTAGCTGGGATTACAGGCATGCATCACTACACCTGGCTAATTTTTGTATTTTTGGTAGAGCCTGGCCTTCACCATGTTGGCTAGGCTGGTCTTGAACTCCTGGCCTCAAGTGATCCACATGTCTCAGCCTCCCAAAGTGCTGGGCTTATAGGCGTAAACCACCATGCCCAGACTGTGCTTGTCGTTTTCATGTAACTGTTTGAACCAGTATTTCCTAATATAGAATATCCTTGAGTAATCCTCCTTTTCGTAAGCCTCTGAAATTTTCTTGATATTCTTGTAGCATGACAAAATATACTGTCATCCTAAGACTCTTGTCCACCAAGGGATAGAGTGCATTCTCTATCCACTGGGAAATGGAGGTGATAAGAACACTTCCTGCTGACAAAGTCTGATGCTTCTACCAACTCAGCCCAGTAACTCTGAAAGTGGACTCACCAAAGACAGAAGTGGCTCACAGCCCCACCTGGAGGCCCAGACAAGAGGTGGCTCTGCCCTGGGTCTGCTCTTTAGAGGGCTCTACTCTGGCATGCCTGTGGCTATGCCTCTCCCCACTGGGTGAGAAGTTCATTGCGCCTACGGAATGTGACCATTCAGAGCCTATGTCACTTTCTGTTTACAGCACTCCCCGTGGATCAGGGCCCCTGCCCAGTGACCTCCAGCTCACTCCCAAGGCCCAGTCTGGCCATTTCCCTTGGCCTATCACCGCAGAGGGGACCTGTGCTTCTGGTATGTCCACCACTTGGCTCCCAAGATGTATATCTCTAGGTGCCCTGGGGTGACGACTGGGGCAGTGGGCATACCTTAGATATGTGGACCATATTATCCACCCATGTGCTTGAGAGAGGATTGTCACAGAATGGGGCAAAGCTAGGGATGAGAAGTCAAGTTAGGGAGGGGAGACAGTATGGTGAGGACAGGGGAAACCAGTTTTCTGGAGAGTCTGAAAATGATCAATTATAACCTGATCTTCAGGGTTATTATGAAAGTATACTTGTCAAGTGAGGAGCATAGAAATTCTGATTTAACATTTTTTAAAGTTAGTTTACAACTGTTAAGAATGAAAACACCTAGCTGATGAGCTTCCATTTGTACCCTTGCCTTGAGCCCTGCAAATGTGGGAGAGGGCCTGGAAAGTGGTACTGTTCCCACAGCTTGAATAAATACAATCAAGGAGGACGGAAAGATGTTGAGAAGTTGCAAAGATGCACAGTTTAGGGGGAAATCCCTCCTAAAACTCAAAGCAATGCAAACAGAAGGACTCCAAAGGCACTGAGGATTCACAGAGCCCAGCACAACCCGCCCTGGCCTCAGCACACAAGCTTGTGCCATCTGGACCCATGTGGACCCAGCCCACCTTCCAGCCTCATTTCCCACTACCTCACCCACACAAACCATCTTTGGCCACAATAGACTACTCTTTGCTCCCTGAACTTACTGCCAGTTTTACACCTCAATGCTTTTGCCCAGGTCATTTGCTCAGCCTAGAACTCCCTTTCCCCTAATAAAATCATGTAAAGCTCAGCTTAAATGCAACCAGCTCTTAAAAGCCTATGACCTTGGACTCCCCACACAACCACACCTAGGGAAACTCACTGGTCTTTCATTCATGTCCATTGTTATTTTATACCTATGTCTATTATGGCATATCACACAGAAACCAGATCTTACTTGTTTTTGAATCCACATTAACATGTAGTAGTGGTCAGTAAATACTTGCTCAATGACTTCTGCTCAGTAAAGAAAAGCCACTGATTCTTCTCAAACAGTCTACCTAAGGTTGCTTCCCTCTCACCCGGAAGAGAAAGTCGTCTTGTGCTTATTCTCCTCATCACTCTTCTCCTTTTTCTTCCTCTTCGCCATTGTTATGACCATGCACTGTGGTTTAATATGGTTTTCTTGTTTATTTATATACATCAATTCATGGCAGCTTCATATATGTGATATTGTAAGTCTCATTTTCTCCTGAAGAAATAGTTTCTGAGAGTGACGAAGCAGCAGAACTTTCACTTGAAGCCCACTTGTTAGTTCTAGAATCAGCACTCCTTCTACTCCACTAGATCCCTGAGGTTCAGACCTGAGCACTCAGGTGGGTCTCACGACAGAGCAGCTGATGCAGGGCCTGGTGGAGGATCCACACAGAGATTTAATCAGCAGTGGATTGGGGCCAAGAAGGAAGAGTCAGGAAGGAAATCCCCAATGTGTGAAAAACAAAACCACAACAATCAACAATGAAAATCCAGGGACAGGGAAGTGAGTTCCACCTAAATAAACCCCAATCATTGGACATGCTGGCTTAAGTGAACTAGGACTTTCCAGAAAACGGGAGGTCACATGGGAGTGACTCAAGGTTTCAACCTCTGAGGGCAATGATTGCTGGAAACTATCTCACAAGGAACACTTCTGAAGGGATTTGGAAAGAATGCTTGCTAAAGGAAGGAAGCAGTCCAGAAATGGACAAATGAATCCATAAGGAAGGGCTGAGAAAGGGACAGGTGGGAAAAGCGGTCTCGGTGAAGATGAAGGAGGAAGTCAGAAAGTAGTTCAAAAAAACCAATTCTAGCAGACGGAGGATGAGCCAGGCACTCCTGCCCACCTCTGTGGCCTTGTGGTTTCCTGTGGCATGATGCCAACTTAATTCTACACAAGCCAGGTGAGTCAGTGCTGGCAAGAAGTCACTGAGAATGGGCCAGACCATGGACTTGTCTTCCCCAACTCCACCAAAAGCCCTGGAAAGTGAGACACTCTCTCTCATTTCCCGCTGAGAAAGGAGAAGCCCCTCTGCTTGCTGCTTTTCCCCTCTCAAAGCTCTTCCTAGGTTTCCTCTTTGCCCCTTCAGGAAGCAAAGGTCTCACACTCAAGTCCCTTACTGCTTAGCCGTGCAGTGGGGCAGCTATGATTCACTTTTACATTGTGTTGGAAGCATGGCGCTGCATCAGCATTTGTAGAACCAGATAAGGAATACCTACATTAATACCAACTTGTGTCTGTGAAGGCCAGTTTTCCAGAGCTAAAGAATAAGGCGTGAGAGTCAGATATCAACTGCAAAAATCAGTCATTTGTCTGACCTAAATTAAAGACTCATCTTCACGTGCACAGAACCCGCCTTCTCCCTCAATTAGGGCCTGGAGATCCATCCCTTTCCTGTCAGCACCCACTGAAAAGAGAGGAAACAGCAAGGAAAGGGTGGGAAGACACTGCTTCTGTACAAAGCTTAACAGAACTCAGGTGTGCCATTCAAAATTCCACCAGGAGCTTCCTCAAGGCCCAACTATGACAGGCCTTGAAATGTCCAGCAGAACCACAAGCTGACAATTAGTCACCATCAAGAGCCGGTAGATCAGCTTGAGAAAAGACACGGCAGCAGCCAGCAGGCACAGTGGGTGGCACCGTCTAAGATGTGGATGTCTGTGGCAGCCCCAGCATGTCCCCCTAATTATGGTGTGCTCTTTGACTCAGGAGACATCACCTACAATTAGTTCTGGGACACGTTCTGGGGAGAGGGGCCTGCAGCAGGCTTTTTCTCTTCTGCAGCACCTGTGGTACACAGATAGACACTGGGTGATACCTAGGAAGGTCTCGAGCCAGCAGCTCCAACCGAGCCCTGTGCCTCCCTGGTTTCCTATGGGGGCCCGAAGCTTGTTTTTGCTGGCACAACCTATGCCCGAGTAACCGACAGGAATTGGGAAAGAAGGCTCTGCTGTTTTGACTCCAAAACTTGCCTCTCAGAGCTCTTCCATTACACTTGTAAGAACTAATTTTTGTCACAAAGGAACTATTTTCAGGAGACTGAAAAATATCCTTCAATACCAGACCAGAAGGAAGAGCTTTCAAAGAAAAAGATCCTAGGGATGAGATTTAGAGAAGGAGATATTAGAGATTAGTAGTGGTCTGTGCATTTTCAGTAACATACAGAATGGAAGGGATAGAGAGACAGAGGAGAAGAAGAAGAAGCAAGAATTCAAATGTTTGTAGATCTCAGGTTCACAACTCACTAGCTCTGCATCCATTGGCAAGATCTTTATACTCTCTGACCCTATGTCCCCATTATTTAATGGAGACAGTAATAGTTTCCTTACCTGGTGGTTGTAAGAAGACAATGTTTGTTAATGCCAGGATTAGAGCAAGTATCAAGAAGTGTTTCTGAAAGCAGAAGTTGGAGCTTGGCAGTATTTTATACGTATTTTATGCCACTCTCCCAAAGACTTCCTGGCCGTGTGCACCTACCAATAAAGTAATGATGTTCTCTCAGCACCTTCTAGGGAAAAGGTTCTGAATCCCACATTGAGACACAGCAATGACCACCAGCAGGCAGAGAGAGAGAGAGAGAGCACGAACTCCTCCTGTGAGGCCTGTCTTGGGCCAAACTGTGGAAGTAAGTACTCCTTCCTATCACTTGTGGACTAAGTGGTCTCAGAGATTGGACTAAGTGGTCTCAGATATCCAGGGATCTGGCTGGGTGCGGTGGCTCATGCCTGTGAATCCAGCACTTTGGGAGGCCGAGACGGGCGGATCACAAGGTCAGGAGATGGAGACCATCCTGGCTAACACAATAAAACCCAGTCTCTACTAAAAATACAAAAAAATTAGCTGGGCGTGGTGGCGGGTGCCTGTAGTCCCAGCTTCTCGGGAGGCTGAGGCAGGAGAATGGCATGAACCCAGGAAGCAGAGCTTGCAGTGAGCCGAGATTGCGCCACTGCACTCCAGCCTGGGCGACAGAGCAAGACTCCATCTCAAAAAAAAAAAAAAAAAAAAAAAAAGATATCCAGGGATTCAGGACCCTTACAGATCAGGAGATCAGGTCCTATCCAATAAAAATGCTTAGTGGCCCAAAGGCCAGCAGTATGGATTTGGGTTAGAGGATCAAAGTATAACTGTATTCTCATTCTCTCTCTTTACTAAGACATACATATCTAATATGCTTAATGTTTTGTTCCTGATTCTTTACTGTCTTACTGCATTTGGGCCCAGAGGCCCTGACTTCTCAAGCCTGGAGAGATTCAACCAAACTAAACCTGCCTGGAAGTGATACATATGACTTCTCATATTTTGTTGGCAGAACCAGTTGCAGATAACTTTAAGGAGGTATGTCCATCAGTCAGCTTAGATTGTGTTAAACTGTGGGAATGATCACCCAAGTCTCAAGCATTTATAGAAATAGTGATTTTTTTTTTCTCTCTCATACATCCTGTGGTCATCTAATACCCTGGGCTCCAGGCTGAAGGAGCAGCCTCTATGTGAGACAATGTCACTCTCATTATAGATAGAAAAGAAAGTCTGTGGGCTGATGTAATAGCTCTAATGCTTCTGCTCAGGAGTGGCATTCTTCACTTCTACTTGTGGACCAAAATGAGTTTCATGGTCAATATCTGATACCAGAGAAGCATAATCCTCCTATGTGGAGGGGCACCACCTCTCATGTGGCCAAGACTGATGGCAAAGGTAGGGAAGTAGAATAATCTTATCACACAGAGGCAGCAGATACTGGGGGCAAAACTTAATCTAACACAGCAAGAAAGTATAATCCTATCTATAACTCAAAGTGGAGGGGCATGGGATATTTGTGAATATTAGTGACATCTACCATTACTAGCACTGTAAATGTAAACACAGAGGGCTATCGAATAGAACTTCGTCAGAGTAAACCATACACCCTGCCTGGAGGGGATTTGGGACAGTTACACAGAAAAACAGACAATTGATCCAGGCCTGAGGTTGGAGAACTTATCATTATGTACCTCATATTCATTCAACAAATAATTATGAGCATCTACTAGAGGCCAGGAAGTGCACCCACTGATATACAATGGTAAACAAAACAGGCCTTGTGGAGATCAAATATCTCTAGAGAAAGCTAGCATTAAATAAATATATATTTATTGTAATCAACACACAAATAAATATATATTTATTAATACAAACTGGCCTACAGGTTACAGTAGGAAAGACTGGCCTCTCAGAACTCTTTCAGAGACAGAATAAGGCCACTTTGAGGAAGTATTGTTGGAATTGAGAGTTGACTCAGAGTTAGCCAGGCAAAAAGTGGTGGAAAGAATGTTCCAGGCAGAGCGAACAGGTTGTACAGACTCGCTGAGATGACAAGAGTTTGGTATACCTGAGGGACCAATGAGAGGAGGGAAATTACTGTAGCGAGTGAGTAGAAAAGCAATTCAAGGGGAAGTTGGTGAGGAAAGCTAAAGCATGCCTGAGATCATGTTAAGAGTTTTAGATTGTGTTTTACATGACATAAGACGTTGATAGTATTCAGTGGCTGGGGGAGTTTGTGTGTGAGCATGAGACATTGTCCTATATCCATTTGTTTAATTACCTGGCTACCACATGGAGAGTGGATTGAAGAGAGGCAGGAGTTATTCAGGCAACAGTCAGGCAAAAGATGATGTGACTTGGGTTGGACCTGCGGAGATGGACATGGACATGTGCATAATAATTTTAAGACATGTTTTAGGGGCAGAACTGATAGCAATTTGTGATGAATTAGAATATGTTGGGAGGAGCAATGAGTCAGAAAAAGGTAGCAAGAAAGATGGAGTTGGTTCTTCCTAAGTCCAATTCACCCAGAAGAGAAAGAATGATGAAGGGGTGGGAATAAGGGAATCAAATTTTTTCTTGGGACATGTTCATTGTGAGATTTCTGTGAGCCCTCTGAGATAGAAATGTAGAGTAAGTTGTTGAAAGTGAGAGTCTGGGGCCTGGAATAAAGGTCCAGGCTACAAATGTTTGTTTAAGGATCACAGTATATAGTAAAATCCAAAGTCATGGGAATGGGCGGAATGCAAATTTAAAGCAAGAAGAGAAGAGGATTGTGGACTGCTTGCTCCCTAAATAACTCAAATATTAGAGTTCAGTTGGGGTAGTGGGGAGAAAGGGCTGCTGGCAAAAGAGTCTGAGAAGACCAGAAAGCTGGGAGAAAACTTGGGGGTCTGGTGTTAAGGAAGCCAAGAGATGAAGCATGTTTCCGGAAAGAAGTGTTTAACAGCCTAGACTACCGCAGAAAAGTCCAGTGCGATGAGGACACTGGCTTTGGCAGCACAAAGTGCCCTTCGCAAAATCCATTTCTATGAAATGGAAGAGGCAGAAACCAAAACTGAATACAGTGAGGATTAAATGAGAGGTGAGGATGAGACTGCAGACAACTCTTGCAAGAAGTGCAGTTAAGGGAGACAGAGCATGGGGGCAATAGCTGGGGATGATTAGGATAAAGATGGTAATGTACAAATGTCTGAATAATTATTGGATAAATCCAATAGAGAGTAAAGATGGAAATGTTAACGATGGAACAAAACCGGCTGATATGGCAAAAAGGGGGAGGGATCAGAGCACAAATGGGGAGTCTGACTTTGCAGAGGAAATGAAATCTCTTCCCAGAAACAGTAATGAAGGAGAAAAATTGGGTGGTGATGCCACCAGGTGTTTGAATTTGGTAGTGGAGAGAAACAGGTAGAGTTTCTGTATTGTACACTGTGGGATTTGGGGTGAGGGTGGGGTGGTGTTTGTGTGTTTTGTTTTTAATTAATATGAGACAAGGTCGTTAGCTGAGAGGAATACAGGGTAAGATGAATACAGCTGGAAAACTGGAGAATGTACAAATATTCCTTGAGGAGAGTCAAAGAATGGACTTATCTCGGCTGTGTGGTGACTGGCAGTGCCAGTTTCCCATTTGAGGTTGGAAATCATGAGCCTAGAGTAGTACTTGTTATCACAGAAGTGAAAAGTCACATCAATCTACCCAATTGTGGGACTGTTGCACAGTTTCAACTGCATGGAGGCAGGCATGGAAAAGGCAGTGAATAGGTTTATGCAGAATTGAGTTGCAACAGGCACATGTAATAGGAGGAAAGAGGTGAGAGAGTTGAGGGTATCTGCAAGGGAGGGCCTATAGTAATGGTCCATTGACTTGTACCTGAATACAAGGTACTGTGGAGTGCTTCATGAGGCCAAGGAGAATGTAATCGGAGAATAGGATATTTGAGTTTGCTACTTAAGCATTGGTAAAATTATAAATGGCTACCTTTTAATAGAGTTATTTCCTTCTTTTAAATTTATATACCATTAAAGGCACAAATCTTAAGTATACAGTTCAATAATTTTTGGCAAATATGTACACTCGTTTTGCCCCCACAATTTGTGTCATTCCAGAGAGTTCTTTCATCCCTTTTCCAATCAATCCCCACTCCCTGCCCCCAACAGTAGCAGCTACTGTTCTTATTTCTATCACTATGCATTACTTCTGTCTGTTATAGAATTTCATATAAATGGAATCATGGAGTATTTATTCTTTTGTATTTGGCTTCTTTCACTCAGCATGTTTTTGAGATTCATTTATTTAGTAATTCATTTTTTTATTGCTGAATAGTATTGCATTGTAAGAATACACCACAACTTATTTATCCACTCTTCTGTTATGCTGGGTAACAGAATAGGTGTGTGTTTAACTTCGTAAGAAACTTCTAGGTAGTCTTTCAAGGTGGGCATAACATTTTATACTCTCACTGGCAACATATAAGAATTTTAGCTACTCCACATCCTGTCTAATATTTATTGTCATCAATCTCTCCTTTTAACCATTTGAGTAGTTGTCAAGCGGTGTCTTGTGGTTTTCATTACTTCCCTGATTTTGAACATGTTTTCATTGCTTATTAACAATTTCTACATCTTCTTTTGCACAGTGTCTGTTTTACATTGAGATTTTTGTCTTTGCATTATTGAACTGTAAAAATTCTGTATATATTCTGAATTCAAGTACCTGCTTGAGGTATACATTCATCTTAAGCATCTTTTCCCAGTCTGTTGCTTGCCTAGTCACTTGCTTAATGATGTTTCTTGATGAGAAATTTTCAATTTTGTTTTAGCACAACTTATCAATTATTTTATGGTTAATGGTTACTCTATTTAAGAAATTTTTTTCACTCTGATGGTAGTTTCTTTTGGTGTGCAGAAGCTCTTTAGTTTAATTAGATCCCATTTGTCAATTTTGGCTTCTGTTGCCATTGCTTTTGGTGTTTTAGACAGGAAGTCCTTGCCCATGCCTATGTCCTGAATGGTAATGCCTAGGTTTTCTCCTAGGGTTTTTATGGTTTTAGGTCTAACGTTTAAGTCTTTAATCCATCTTGAATTAATTTTTGTATAAGGTGTAAGGAAGGGATCCAGTTTCAGCTTTCTACATATGGCTAGCCAGTTTTCCCAGCACCATTTATTAAATAGGGAATCCTTTCCCCATTGCTTGTTTTTGTCAGGTTTGTCAAAGATCAGATAGTTGTAGATATGCGGCCTCATTTCTGAGGGCTCTGTTCTGTTGCATTGATCTATATCTCTGTTTTGGTACCAGTACCATGCTGTTTTGGTTACTGTAGCCTTGCAGTATAGTTTGAAGTCAGGTAGCGTGATGCCTCCAGCTTTGTTCTTTTGGCTTAGGATTGACTTGGCGATGCGGGCTCTTTTTTGGTTCCATATGAACTTTAAAGTAGTTTTTTCCAATTCTGTGAAGAAAGGCATTGGTAGCTTGATGGGGATGGCATTGAATCTATACATTACCTTGGGCAGTATGGCCATTTTCACGATATTGATTCTTCCTACCCATGAGCATGGAATGTTCTTCCATTTGTTTGTATCCTCTTTTATTTCCTTGAGCAGTGGTTTGTAGTTCTCCTTGAAGAGGTCCTTCACGTCCCTTGTAAGTTGGATTCCTAGGTATTTTATTCTCTTTGAAACAATTGTGAATGGGAGTTCACTCATGATTTGGCTCTCTGTTTGTCTGTTATTGGTGTATAAGAATGCTTGTGATTTTTGTACATTGATTTTGTATCCTGAGACTTTGCTGAAGTTGCTTATCAGCTTAAGGAGATTTTGGGCTGAGACAATGGGGTTTTCTAGATATACAATCATGTCATCTGCAAACAGGGACAATATGACTTCCTTTTTTCCTAATTGAATACCCTTTATTTCCTTCTCCGGCCAAATTGCCCTGGCCAGAACTTCCAACACTATGTTGAATAGGAGTGGTGAGAGAGGGCATCCCTGTCTTGTGCCAGTTTTCAAAGGGAATGCTTCCAGTTTTTGCCCATTCAGTATGATATTGGCTGTGGGTTTGTCATAGATAGCTCTTATTATTTTGAGATACGTCCCATCAATACCTAATTTATTGAGAGTTTTTAGCATGAAGGGTTGTTGAATTTTGTCAAAGGCCTTTTCTGCATCTATTGAGATAATCATGTGGTTTTTGTCTTTGGTTCTGTTTATATGCTGGATTACATTTATTGATTTGCATATATTGAACCAGCCTTGCATCCCAGGGACCATCAGAGTTAACAGGCAACCTACAAAATGGGAGAAAATTTTCGCAACCTACTCATCTGACAAAGGACTAATATCCAGAATCTACAATAAACTTAAACAAATTTACAAGAAAAAATCAAACAACCCCATCAAAAAGTGGGCAAAGGACATGAACAGATGCTTCTCAAAAGAAGACATTTATGCAGCCAAAAGACACATGAAAAAATGCTCACCATCACTGGCCATCAGAGAAATGCAAATCAAAACCACAATGAGATACCATCTCACGCCAGTTAGAATGGCAATCATTAAAAAGTCAGGAAACAACAGGTGCTGGAGAGGATGTGGAGAAATAGGAACACTTTTACACTGTTGGTGGGACTGTAAACTAGTTCAACCATTGTGGAAGTCAGTGCGGCGATTCCTCAGGGATCTAGAACTAGAAATACCATTTGACCCAGCCATCCCATTACTGGCTATATACCCAAAGGACTATAAATCATGCTGCTATAAAGACACATGCACACATATGTTTATTGCGGCACTATTCACAATAGCAAAGACTTGGAACCAACCCAAATGTCCAACAATGATAGACTGGATTAAGAAAATGTGGCACATATACACCATGGAATACTATGCAGCCATAAAAAAGGATGGGTTCATGTCCTTTGTAGGGACATGGATGAAATTGGAAATCATCATTCTCAGTAAACTATCACAAGGACAAAAAACCAAACACCGCATGATCTCACTCATAAGTGTGAATTGAACAATGAGAACACATGGACACAGGAAGGGAAACAACACACTCTGGGGTGTTGTGGGGTGGGGGGAGCGGGGAGGGATAGCATTAGGAGATATACCTAATGCTAAATGACGAGTTAATGGGTGCAGCATACCAGCATGGCACATGTATACATATATAACTAACCTGCACATTGTGCACATGTACCCTAAAACTTACAGTATAATAATAATAAAATAAAAAATAAATAAATAAAAAATAAAAATAAATAAAAAAATAAATAAATAAATTTTTTTCTACTCCAAGATCACAAAAATATTCTGTTTTCTTATAAGTCTTGAAGTTAGAAAACAAAGGTTCTCCAACCCTGTTCTTTTTCAAGATTGTTTTGGATATTCTAGGTCTTTTGAATTTTTATGTCAGTGTTAAAATCAGCTTCTAAATTTCAACTGGGATTTTGTTTGATATTATATTTCTATAGACCAATTTGGGGAGAACTAACATCTTAACAACAGTGAGCCTTCCGGCCGGGCGCAGTGGCTCACGCCTGTAATCCCAGCACTTTGGGAGGCCGAGGTGGGTGGATCACGAGGTCAGGAGATCGAGACCATCCTGGCTAACACGGTGAAACCCCATCTCTACTAAAAATACAAAAAATTAGCCGGGCGAGGTGGCGGGCGCCTGTAGTCCCAGCTAGTTGGGAGGCTGAGGCAGGAGAATGGCGAGAACCCTGAGGGGCGGAGCCTGCAGTGAGCCGAGATCACGCCACTGCACTCCAGCATGGGCAACAGCGAGACTCCGTCTCAAAAAAAAAAAAAACAAAAACAAAAACAAAAAAACAACAGTGAGCCTTCTAATTCATGGACATGGTATATCACTTCATTTACTTAGGTCTTTAATATCTCCACAATGCCATGGAATCTTCAATGTAAAGGACTTGAAGATCTTCAGTTAAATTTATTCCTAAGTACTTTATATTTTTGGTGTTATTATAAGTGGTATTGCTTTGTAAATTTTGTTTCCCAATGCTTCATTGCTAATATATAGAAATACAACTGATTTTTGCATACTGACCTCATACCCTATGACATTGATAAATTCACTTGCCCTAGTTGTTTTTATTAGTCTGAGAATAAAGAGTTTTAACTATTTATTTCCAATATTTATGCCTTCTATTTCTCTGTGATGTCCACCATATTACACTGATTAGAATTTTTGGAACAATGTTGAGAAGAAGTGGTGAGAGTAGACATCCTTGCCTTGTTCTTGCTCTTAGAGGGAGCAGAATTATTTTTTATACCTGCCTGATTCCTCCCCCTAAACAGTAAGATTCTCCAGAGTAGGAATCACAACTTATTCTCCACCATTTCTGAAATAAAAAAGAGTATGACATTTCAGAAGCATTTAGTAAATATTTATTGGTGTATTAAAGGAATTACATACACATGGCAGAAATGCACTAAGGTCTCTGTTTTGATTCCTGGCCATATTTGGTGCTGATCCCTTAAAATGAAGTAGGAGCTCATAACCGGGCAGCCACTGATAAAAGAATGTTTTTTTAAGTTAGTAGTTTCCAATTCTGAGTTTTATGCAAATGTAATGTTAGAACGTCTAGTCATGTGGAGAGGGGTGGGAAGTGGCCATTTTGACCAGGATGCTAAGTAAGACACATGCATAATCTGATTCTTAGGTTCCGAGCACACAAAGAACTGTCAAAAGCAACCACAGGCAGGGCGCGGTGGCTCACACCTGTATTCCTAGCACTTGGGGAGGCTGAGGCGGGTGGATCACTTGAGGTCTGAAGTTCGAAACCAGCCTGGCCAATATGGTGAAACCCCATCTCTACTAAAAATACAAAACAATTAGCTGGGTGCGGTGGCAGGTGCCTATAATCCCAGCTACTCGGGAGGCTGAGGCAGGGGAATCACTTGAACCCGGGAGGTGGAGGTTGCAGTGAGCCGAGATCGTGTCACTGCACACTGCACTCCAGCCTAGGCGACAGAGTAAGATTCCATCTTAAAAAAAAAAAAAAAAAAAAAAAAAAACAGAAAGCAACCATAGCATTCAGTTTCACCAACCACAAGTCCCAAATATGCAAAACTATGAAGCTGGCTAAAAAGAATAAAAAACTGGAAAATTAGGATTTGTGGGAAAATAGATTGACTCATTCAATACTCATCCACAAAATATCATTACTTATGAATCACGGTGTTATTAAAGCTCGACCATCTGGTTCAGCAGCAACTGTTGATTCAAAGATTTAGCAAAATGACAGGTGATGATAAGTGTGACCAACTACTGAGAGTTAATGCCAAGCATTGTGCTAAGAGCTTCAAATACCCTACATAGTATTATTCACCAGCACTTGGAGATAGGCATTGCATCCACTTTATAGATGAGTGGCCAGAGATTAAATGATCATCTCAAACCATGCAATTCCTGTATGCTAGAGACAAGGCCCAACAAGATCTCCATTCAAAGTGTGCAAACTTAACCACTAAGCTATACCTCCAAATTCCATGTCATGGTGAGGGGGTGTTGTGAACATCCTTCTCCATCAGCCCTAGGACCTGGACTGTCAGTCCCATGAGATCAGGGACCATATCTGTATGTCACCACTCTGACCCGAAGTCTGGAATAGTGTCTAGCACTAAATAGGCATTCTATCAAATTAAAAAGCTAAATGACACACATTATCAGTTAATCCTAACCACACCCTAATATTTGTCTGTTTCACCTCTCAATAATTTAACTTTTTAAAATTAAAATCCTCCATTCTGATGCTGAATGTGCTCATTTCTCATGGTAATTCTAGGTACCTTATCAATTTTTGCTTTATATTTTTGAAATATGTTAAGGTAGCTTTTAGGTACTTAAGCTTTTTAAGCATTACTTAGAGACCTATTTACTCCTAAAGATGCTTTATGTCTTAAAGTCTATTTTATCTGAGATTAATATCTTGTTGTCAGCGTTTTTTGTTTAGGATTTAGGTATTTCATCTTTTTTCTAGCCTTTTTACTTTTAACCTTTTCAGGACTTTAAGTTTCAGGCATGTTTTTATAAAAGCACGGGCAGAATTTTGTATTACTGTTTTCAAATCCAGTCTAAGTCTATTTTAACTGGCATGTTTAACTCATTTTCACTTTACTGATTATTAAAATATTTGGGCTTGTTTCTACCATTCTACTCTGTTTTTTTTCTATGACTTTTCTCATTTTTAAAAATATTCCATTCGTGGCATGTTTGGTCTGGAAGTTTTACACTCTACTTCAATTATTTTATTGATTGTCTTTGAATGTTACCACTTATAGGTGTTTTTGAAATTTCACTTTGTTTCATTTAAATGTTCTGTTCACTTCTGAAATAGCTGAGCTTTTAAAATTTTCGCCTTTTCTAAGAACAATTTATCAGAAACCCAGTGACAAAAGTGTGGCAAAAGAACATAACTGTTGCTGTGTTAAGAAAAGTATTCTGTGAGTATGAGAGATATAAACACTGTGTGCAACTATATGATAACAAAAGGGGCAATTCAGCAAGAGCATATAACAACTTTAAATATATATGCAGCCAACACTGGAGTACCCAGATTTATAAAGCAAATATTATTAGAGCTAAAGAGAGAGATAGGCCTTTTTAATACCATAATATAGGTGGAAACCACAACACCCCACTTTAAGCATTGGAAAAAGCTTCCAAGCAGAAAATCGACAAAGAAATACTAGATTTAATTTGCACTACAGATAAAATAGCCCTGTAGATATTTACAGAACATTTCATCCAAAAGCTGCAGAATACGCATTCTGTTCCTCAGCACATGGATAGAACACATGTTAGGTCACAGAACAAGTCTTAAAACATTCAACAAAATTGAAACAATATCAGGCACATTCTCTGACCACAATGGAATAAAACTGGAAATTAGTAATGAGGAATTTTGGAAACTATACAAACACATGGAAATTAAACAATATGCTCCTGAATGACCAGTGGTTCAATGGAGAAATTAAGATGGAAATTGAAAATTTTCTTGAAACAAATGATAATGCAAATACAACATACAAAAGCCTATCAGATATAGCAAAATCAGCACCAAGAGGGAAGTTTATAGCTGTAAGTGCCTAAATCAAAAAAAGAGGAAAAACTTCAAATGAATAATCTAATGATGCATCTTAAAGAACTAGACAAACAAGAGCAACCCAAACTGAAAATTAGAAAAAGAACAATAATAATAAAGATTGGAGCATAAATAAATGAAATTAACATAAAACAAGAATACAAAAGTTCAACAAAACAAAAAGTTGTAGTTTTTTTTAAATAAAGAAAAGAGGTTTAACTGGCTCATGGTCCTGCAGGCTTTACAAGCAGCATGGTGCCAACATATGCTCAGCTTCTAGGGGGGCCTCAGGAAGCTTAAAATCATGGTGGAAGGCAAACAGGGAGTAGGCGTATCATATGGTGAAAGCAGGAGCAAGAGAGAGAAATTGCGCAGGGATTGTTGCCACATACTTTTAAATGACCAGATCTTGTGGGAAGTCACTCACTATTGTGAAGACAATACCAAGTCATGAGAGATCCACCCCCCGACCCAAACACCTCCCATCAGCCCCACCTCTTGCATTGGAGATTACAATTCAACGTGAGATTTGGGTGGGGACAAATATCCAAACTGTATCTCATGGTGCCTGGAATATGATCCAATAACAGAATTAGTTAATCAATAAATATTCAATCTTATCTGGGACTTCCATCTTTAAAAATCTACCTTATCTACTTTATAGTGTCCTTGAGGATGCAACAAAGGAGTTAATGAATTCGAGTATGTTTTATACAATCTACATTCCTCAATAAGGTAGTATGTAAGCTCTTGGAAGAAGTAAATCTTTACTCATTTATTTTATTTTGTTTTTTATTTTTAGTTTTTAAACTTTTATTTTAGGTTTGGAGGTACACATGAAGGTTTGTTACATAGGCAAACTCATGTCACCAGGATCTGTTGTACAGATTATTTAATCACCCATGCATGAAGCCCAGAACCCAATAGTTTTCTTTTCTGCTTGCCTCCCTCCTCCTCCCACCCTCCACCCACAACTAGACCCCAATGTCTGTTGTTCCCTTCTTTGTGTTCATGAGTTCTCATAATTTAGCTATCACTTAAAAGTGAGGGCATGTGGTATTTGGTTTTCTGTTCTTGCATTAGTTTGCTAAGGATAATAGCCTCCAGCTCCATCCATGTTACCACGAAAGACATGATCTCATTCTTTTTTATGCCTGCATAGTATTCCATGGTGTATATGTACCACATTTTCTTTATCCAATCAGTCATTGATGAACATTTAGGTTGATTCCATGTCTTTGTTATTGTGAATAGTGCTGCAGTTAGCATTCACTTTCAAGTGTCTTTATTGTAGAATGATTTATATTCCTAGTAATGGGATTGTTGGATCAAATGGTAGTTCTGCTTTTGGTTCTTTGAGGAATCATGATACTGCTTTCCACAATGATTGAACTAAACTCTCACCAACAGTATCACACCAGTCAGAATGGCTATTGTCAAAAAGTCAAAAAATAACAGATGTTGGCAAGGTTGCAGAGAAAAGGAAACACCCACAACTCTTTGAGTCTGGGTAGATTGAGGCGAGTGTCCTGATATCCTAAAGACAGGCAATAACAAATTCTGGTAAGGAGTGAAGAAAAGGGACCTCTTGTACACTGTTGGTTGGAATGTAAATTATTACAACCACTATGGAGAACAGTTTGGAGGTTTCTAAACTAAAAATTGTGCTACCATATGATCCAGCATCCCATGCAGGGCATAAACCCAAAAGAAAGGAAATCAGTGTATTGAAGAGATATACTGATCTCCTATGTTTGTTGCAGCACTGTTTACAATAGCTAAGATTTGGAAGCAACCTAAGTGTCCATCAACAGATGAATGGATAAATAAAATGTGGTACACATATACAATGGAGTACTATTCAGCCATAAAAAAAGAATGAGAACCTGTCATTTGCAACAACATGGATGGAACTGGAGATCATTATATTAAGTGAAATAAGCCAGACACAGAAAGACAAACATCGCATGTTCTCACTTATTCGTGGGATCTAAAAATCAAAACAATTGAATTCATGAACGTATAGAGTAGAAGGATGGTTACCAGAGGCCAGGAAGGGCAGGGGTGTGGTGGGGGGAGGTAGAGATGGTTAATGGGTACAAAAAAACAGAAAGAATGAATAAGATCTACTATTTGACAGCACAATGGGGTAGCTGTAGTCAATAATAACCTAATTGTGCAATAATAACCTAATTGTAAATACTATTTGCAACTGTAAATTGTATTTATTTTAAAATAACTTAAACAGTGTAATTTGATTGTTTGTAACTCAAAGGATAATGGATATTCCATTCCCCACAATGTGCTTATTCCACACCACGTGCCTGTATCAAAACATATCATGTACCCCATAATACATATACCTACTATGTACTCACAAAAAATTAATTTTTAAAAATTCAGCAAATAAACACAGTATTGTTGTAGACATTAAACAATATTGATTTTTTAAACTTGAAAAAACCCCTGTATTCAAAATGCTAGTTCTTATAAAACAAGAAATATCTAGGCCTGAAATTTTAATAAGATAAAGAAATATTGATTTGCCAAGAAGGAAAATTATGCTTTTATCTGAAAAAAAAGTGATTTTTTTAAAAGGTAATAGGACTTTTGTAATCTAGTCCAAGTTCCTTATTTCCAGAAAGTAAAAATAATTTGCTCAAAATGTTGGCTCATGAGCATGAGATACACTGTGAGAGAATTTCTTTTCTGCAACTATTCATGATTGGAGATGTAGGGAAAATCTAAGCATAAAATAATAACTGTGAGAATGAGACTGTTTCTTACATAAACCTCTCCATCCAAGTGGGACCCGCAGACAACTCACAACAGGCAACTTGAAGGGAAGCCCTGGCAGATAAGGAAAGCCATTTGGGTGATGGTTACTGTCAATTGACTGATTTGTATTTGCAGGTCACATGCCTGCAAACCATGTAGCTACCACTAAGGTAACAGTGGTGGTGCCTCCATTATCAGCAAAATTCAAACAACTATTAATTAATAGTTGAATTTTGAATAGTTGTTTGAATTAACAACTAAAAATTTTCAAGTAGTAGCCAGAGGACCTTTCAACTCCTGGAGAGCTTTTTCTTGTGGTCTCTTTATTGAAACAACAAAACATAACAAAATAATTAATCTCTAATTGCCGTCATAAAGTTCTGAGGTATTTCTATAAAGAACTGCACTTCCAAAGTCCATGAAGAAAATCTTTCATTACTTTCTAGACACAGTTACTATACAGATAGGAGAATAGTTTAAAATGGTGCTTTCCAAACTGATATTTCGCAGAATACCAGTTCTGATGGGTATTTAAGAAATCTTTGGAAAGAAGTGTCCTAGACTCAAAATACACATATGAAATGCTGGGTTAAACAATGTAGTATAATTTCAATGCAGGTCTTCTCAGAGACTTTTCTGTGATTAATGTGCTTTGTGTGAAGGGTTTCCTGGTTGATTCAAACAACAGAACATTTTTCTTGTGAGTGCTTCCCCCACAATGTGATTTTTTAACACGCAAACTTTTACAAAATAACACAATATTATTCCCACTAAGCTTTTTTTTATTGTGGTAAAGTATACATGACATAAAATTTACCATTTTAGCCATTTTTAAGTGGACAGGTGAGTGGCATTGAGTACATTCACATTGTTGTGCAACCATCACTATCATCCGTCTCTAGAACTTGTTTCACCTTTCCAAATTTATACTCTGTACCCATTAAATGATAACTTCCAATTCCCTCCTCCCCCTATCCCCTGGCGACCATCATTCTACTTTCTGTCTCTATGAATTTTACCACTCTATAGAGTCATGCAGTATTTGTCCTTTTTTGTGACTGACTTCTTTCACTTAGCGTAAAGCCCTCAAGGTTCATCCATATTGTAGCACGTGTCAGAACTTTCTTCCTTTTTAAGATTGAATAATCTATCATTGGATAGACCATATTCTGTTCAGCCGTGCATCTGTGATGGGCACATTGGTTGCTTCCACTTTTGGGTATTGTGGAAAATGCTGCCATAAGTCACTAAGTTTTATTTACTATAAATTTGACTCTGGCCCTATTCAAGAAGTTTAAAAAACTTAGTCCAAAACTTTCCTTTTACCCACAAAATCCTTTCTGATGAATAAGAATTTTTGGCTCTGACTAAGGCACTTAAAAGCTTTAGACAGCCTGGTATCATGATTTTTTATAGGCACTCTGTCTCACTCTTTCAAGGGAAGCATTTGGCAGCCTCGTAGAACTTTCCAGAGAGCACACATAGCTGTCTGACTATTTCCACTCCTCATGCTCAGCTTTGTCCTCTTCTGTAACAAGAAATCATTTCTACCACAGGACTTCACTCACATGAGTCCGTAGAAGCTCTCATGTGGGCACCAGGCAAGAAGCTACGTGACTTAACCTTAAGAATCTGTTTGTTTTTTTCTAATTGGAAGAAGATATTCTCCTATCAAAAGAAAGGGCCTTTCATCAAGTATTTAAGACCCTAGTATCTTTACTAGGCTGAAATTTTATTGCTCTCCATCAGAATTCTTTTAAGAATTAAAGAACAAAGAGGAGGTACTGTGCTTTCTTTTAAGTCAGAGAAGCACGAATTGACGTGACCTCGTGTACAGTGAGAAGAGTGTGCAGGGATGCTTTTAGAAATTAAAAGGCAACCACATTGGCCAGTCAGACAACATGGGGTGGATGACAAGAGTCTAAGAAATGCCAGAGGAAAAGCTTTTCCTCTGGCTTCTGGAAAGTCAAGTTATTGACAATTTTCAAGTGGATAAGAAGAATATTAAGAAGGTGAAATATCTGTTCTACATGCAAGACACAAGGCTTTACAATACATTATCTTCTACTTAACCCCTTCCTTCTCTGTTAACTGCATTTATTCTGGCCCAAGTTTTTGACTGCATTGATTCTGGCCCAAGTTTTCCAGGCCATCCCAATTGCCCTATCCTTTGAGATTTAAACAAAAGTGGATTAAATGACTCTGTCATGCATATGACAAGCTCTCTCCACCCTTCTTTCACTATGATTGCTAGGAATTCTTAGAGACTTATGTTAATATTTCTCCTGGTCATCACTTGGTTCAACTTTCTCCTGTCACAGAATTCTTGTTCTCTGCTGTATCTTCCCTCTTGCAGCTCTTTTCTTCTCTACCTTACATAAACCCAAACCTGGAGCACTCAGTCCCTTTTTGAAAACATTTTCCCAAGCATCATTCATACATGGAGATATGAAGAGTAGGGATGTAGTGAAGATCTTGGAATACTAGCAGAGAAGTCACAGTCCTGAGAAACTCCCCAAGATTGAATATAGAACTTCTCATCTGCCTTCTCTTCTCTGTTTTGTGCATCTTGCTAGGACCTCTTCCCAACACACCCTCTATTTTTTCCTTAGGTTATTCCTTGTGTCTTTGGTGAGGGGAGGAAGATGGAAGGAATCATGAGGCAGGGTGGGGTTGGAGAGGTGCTGTCCTCACCTCGTCTGCTTCGAAGTTGCCCTTGAACACTCAAAATTTTGCTTTCGTTATTTGTGAAGAATGATTTAGTCTTCTTTGACTGATGCCAACCAATCTAGGAAATTCTCCGAGGGCTACTCTTTCATGTCAGAAAATAGCACAGCCGGATGCTTTGTTAAATACAGCCTCTTCTTAAAGACGTAGAGTTTATTTCTTGTTTATCAATATTAAGCCTAGTCTTCCTGACTAGAGCTCACCTTAGCTCAGCTGTTGCACACTTTTCTGAAGATAATGAGTGTTAAACAGAAATTAGGCCAAAGTTCTGTTTGAGGAGAAAACTCTTCAGATTGAGTCTCTTGTTGGCAGATTACTTAGGAAGGCGTAATCAGTGTTCACATTGCAATTTACCCCCTTGCCTGCCTGCACCTCCATGTTTAGGATCAGAAGGGAAAATGATCTGCTTTGAAAGCACAGAAAAAGAGGAGCCCAGAGACACCATTTTGGAAAATGCATTCAAGCACTGTCCAGGGGAGAGGGTGCCCAGGACCCTTGGTTAATCTGGTCCAGGGGGCAAGTCCTTCCCTGTGGTGGCTCTTCTTTTGCTTCCGTTGCCTACTGATATGGTTTGGCTGTGTCCCCACCCAAATCTCAATTTGAATTGTATCTCTCAGAATTCCCATGTGTGGTGGGAGGGACCCAGGGAGAGGTAATTGAATCATGGGGGCAGGTCTTTCCCATGCTACTTTCATAATAGTGAATAAGTCTCATGAGATCTGATGGGTTTATCAGAGGTTTCTGCTTTTGCTTCCTCCTCATTTTCTCTTGCTCCCACCATGTTAGAAGTGCCTTTCACCTCCTGCCATGATTTTGAGGCCTTCCCAGCCATGTGGAACTGTAAGTCCAATTAAACCTCTTTTTCTTCCCAGTCTCAGGTATGTCTTTATTAGCATCATGAAAACAGACTAATACACCTACTCAATGAGAATCCTTTGAAAAATTGAGTTCTCATGTGTCTCGATCACAAATCAGCAAAAGTGCTGGTCAGGCCAATATGCTTCTAGTCTTCCTCATAACACATTCCTCATTGTAAATAATTAAAACAGCATTTGGGTTTTATAAATCTTCTTCTTGATAGCTCTGTTAGCATTACTGAGCATCTAACCCCTATCATCTCTAGTATATTGGGTCCTAAGATCGCAAGCCAAGGGCCTTTACTGGAACTCAGTGTATTCACCAAGGTAAATGTCACTTGGCAATGTGAGGCTTCTTCATGATGGGTCAATTGGCCTTTCCCAGGCAACAACTCTTATGTCTTTTTATGGGTTCCATTCTTCGGTTCAGAAAGTAGAAACTACTTTGAGAATTTTAAGCAGGAAGGGACTTAATTCAGAGAATTAGATATTTTCAAAATCATTGTAGGGGCTTAAGGATCAGGTTCTAGACTGGTCCTCCTGGAATAATCCCCAGGAGTATAGAACTCATCCATCATGGAAACGACTCCTTTGAGACTGTCACTGTAGCTATAGATACAAAAAGTCACTGCCTTGCTTGCTGCCTCTCATGCCTAGGAAATTGGACAGTGGACACCCCAGGCTGTAATTAAGATTAGAAGTCACAGAGGAGGTAGCATGGGGCAGGATGTCAAAGTAGAAGGCGCCATCAATCATGCTCCCAGAAGGACACCAATTTAACAACTATCTACACACCAAAGAAGTACGTTCATGAGAATCAAAACACAGGTGAGCACTCATAGTATCTGGTTTTAACTTTGCATCACTGAAAGAGGTATCGAAGAGGTAGGAAAAGCAGTACTGAATCACCAATGCCACCCCTTCCCCATATCCAGCAGTGACAGCATGATGCAGAGAGCGATTCTATGTTGGGAAGAAGGAGAGTGCAGCATTTGTGAGACATTGAACTCAGTTCTGCCCTGTTATAGCAGAAAGCAAAATTGGACCAAACTCAGCTGACACCCACCCATGGAGTGAACATTCCTAGCCAGAGAGGAATCACCAATCTCAGTGGTCAGAACTTGAGTTCCCACAAGCCTTTCCATCATGATCTAAAGTGCTCTGGGGCCCTAAATTAACTTGGATGGCAATCTAGGCCACAAAGTCTGAACCTTCTAGGTGAGTCCTAGTGCTGAACTAGGTCCAGTGCCTGTGTACTGGGTAGGGGAGGAGTGGGAACATGACCTACTGAGACATCAGCTAGAGTGGCTAAGGGAGTGGCATCACCCCTTTCCTAACCCCAGGCTGCACAGCTCATGGCTCCAAAAGAGCTCCCTTCCTTCTGCTTGAGGAGAGGAGAGGTAAGAGTGGGGAGGTCTTTGTTTTGCACATTGGATACCAGCTCAGCCACAGCAGGATTACGGCATTGGTCAGAGGCATGAGACACCCTTTCCAGGTCCTAGCTCTCAGATGATATTTCTACACATACCCTACACCAGAAAGGGACCTACTGCCTTGAAGAGAAGGACCTACTTCTGGCAGGATTCATCACCTGCTAACTGAAGAAGCCTTGGGCCCTGAATAACCACCAGCAATACCCAGGTAGTACATCGTGGGCCTTGGGTGAGACTCTGAGACTAGCTGGATTCAGGTGAGACTCAGCACATTCTGAGCTGTAGTGGCCATGGGGCGAGACTCCTTCTGCTTGAGAAAAGTGGAGGGAAAAATAAAGGGAGCTCTGTCTTTCACCTCAGGTACCAGCTAGGCCATAGGTGCGTAGAGCACCAAGCAGGCTCTTGGAGCCCCCAATTCCAGGACCTAGGACTTGGATGGCATTTCTGGATCTGCTCTGGGGCAGAGTGGAACCCACTGCCCTGAACAGTGAGTCCCAGGCGAGGCATCATTCACCACAAGCTGACTGAAGAGCCATAGGGTCTTTAAGGAACATAGGTGGTAGTCTGGTAGCACTCTCAGTGTGTCTGTGTTGGTGGTGGCCATGGGATGAGGCTCCTCTGCCTTTGGAAAGGGGAGGGAAGAGTGGGAAGAACTATATGTTGTGGTTTGGGGGACAGCTCAATCAGAGTACAACAGAACACTAGATAGACTTCTAAAGTTGTTGACCTGGCTTCCAGATGGCACCTCTGGACTTGCCTGAGGCCTGGGGTAACATGTCATCCTGGAGGGAAGGACACAGGCCTGGATGGCTTTGCCACCTGCTGATCACAGAGCCCTAAGGCATTGAGCAAGCATAGGCAGTAATGAGGTAATGATTACAATAGGCCTTGGGTGAGACCTAATGCTGTATTGGCTTGAGGTCAGAACCAGCACTGTCCTAGTGGTGGTGGCCATAGGGGTGCTTATGTCACCCTGCACCCAGCTTCGGGGTGGGGGGGGGAGAGAGAGAGAGAGAGAGAGAGAGAGAGAGAGACAAAGGAAAGAAAGAAAGAAAAGAAAGAGAGAGAGAGAGAAGAAAGAAAGAAAAGAAAGAAAGAAAGAAAGAAAAAAGAAAGAAAGAAAGAAAAAAGAAAGAAAGAAAGAGAAAGAAAAAAGAAAGAAAGAAAAAGAAAGACTCCATTTGTTTGGGAGAAAGTAAAGGAAGAAAACAAGAGTCTATGTCTGGTAATCCAGGGAATACTTCTGGATCTTTTACAAGACCATCAAGGTAGTACCTCTATGAGTCTGCAAGAACCACAGCATTACTGGGCTTGGGATGTCTCCTAAAGCAGATATAGCTCAGATCACAACACACAAGTCTTTTTGAATATCTGGAAAGCCTTCCCAAGAAGAATGGGTACAAACAAGCCCAGACAGCAAAGACTGCAATGAATACCCAGTAATTCTTCAATACCCAGACACAGATGAACATCTACAAGTCTCAAGACCTTGCAGGAAAACATGATCTCACCAAATGAACTAAATAAGGCACCAGGGACAATCTTGGAGAAACAGAGATAAGTTATCTTTCAGATAGAGAGTTCTAGATAATTGTTTTCAGGAAACTCAAAGAAATTCAAAACAATACAGGGAAATAATTGAGAATTCTATCTGATAAATTTAACAAAATAAAGCAGAAATTCTGGAGTTGAAAAATAAATTGACACATGGAAAAATGCATCAAAGTTTTTAAATAGCAGAACTGATCAAGCAAAAGAAAGAATTAGTGAGCTTGAAGACAGGCTATTTGAAAATATATGGTCAAGGGAGACAAAAGAAAAAAGAATGAAAAACAGTGACACACATCTGCAGCATGTAGAAAATAGCCTCAAAAGGGTAAATCTAAGAATTATTGGCCTTAAAGAGGAGATATAGAAAGAAACAGAGGTATAAAGTTTATTTAAAGGGATAATAATGTAGAATTTCCCAAACCCAGAGAAATACATCAACATTCAAGCAGAAGAAGGTTATAAAATATTAAGCAGATTTAATCCAAAGAAGACTACCTTAAGCCATCTAATAATTAAATTCCCAAAGGTCAAGGATAAAGAAAGGATCCTAAAAGCGCCAAAAGTAAAGAAATACATAACATACAATGGAGCTTGAATACATTCAGAGCAGACTTTTTAGTGGAAACCTTACAGGCCAGGAGAGCATGGCATGACATATTTAAAGGGCTGAAGGAAAAAACTTTTATTCTAGAATAGTACATATAGGGAAAATATCCTTCAAATATAAAGAAGAAATAAAGATATTCCCAGACAAACAAAAGCTGAAGGATTTCATCAACACCAGACACACCCTGTAAGAAATGCTACAGGGAGTACTTCAATTAGGAAGAAAAGGAGATTAATGAGCAATAAAAAATCATTTGAAGATACAAACTCACTGGTAATAGTAAGTACACAGAAAAACACTGAATATTATAACACTGTAACTATAGGTTGTAAACTACTCTTGTCCTAACTAGAAAGACTAATCATGCACCAATCAAAAATCATAACTATAACAACTTTTCAGGACATAGACAATACCTTAAGATATAAACAAAAACAATGGAAACTTGAAAAACAGGGGGACAAAGTTAAGATGTAGAGTTTTTACTAGTTTTCTTTTTACTTGTTTGTTTGCTTATATAAATGGTATTAAGTTGTTACCACCTTGAAGTAATGGGTTATAGGATAGCATTTGCAAGCCTCATGGTAACCTCAAACCAAATGTCATACAATGAATACACAAAGGATTAAAAACCAAGAAACTAAAGCATATCACCACAGATATGATTCACTAAAAAAGAGAGAGGAAGAAAAGAAAGAAGGAAGAGAAGAACGCAAAACAAACAAAAAACGAATAATAAAATGTCTTCAGGTAGTCACAGTCAAAACATAATTGACAAAGAAATTTGGTTATTTCTGTGATTTACAATAACTTAACATAATAACCTTAATTATTATTAATAGCATATACTCAAACATTAGAATTTTTTAGAAACCCCATACCATGTTGGAACATATATTAAAATTTCTTGGTAAAATATAACCTGAAGAAGATTAAACATTATTTTTATCTTGGCATTCCACATAACTAAACATGTCAAATAATCCTATTTACCTCTCTTTTGGATGACCCAGGGGCCCTCTGTAGCATCCAAAAGTTAGAGGTCAAGGAAGACAACCTTGAAACTGAAGTTTGATTTTGGGAAGCCTGTTAAATATGTTAGAGGCTTAAAACATTTGATATTATGAAATAGAATTCCAGATTTCCATAAGTCATTTACTTAGCCAAAATAATGACTCAAAAAAAATTTTAAAGGCAAAAACCTTTACTCATTAGGAGGAAAGATTTAGCTTTCCAAACAATCTGTCTGTTGTCTTTTCCTTATTTTTTTGAGTAGTTGATTCACAAAGCAAACAAAAATTTTTTATTATCCTTTACTATTACATGAAAATCTCATTCAAGGGAGAGAAAGCAAATTTCACCCTTTCATTAGTCTACTATTAATGTCAACCCCAATTTTCTAATGAAATATTATAGATAATTCTATCCAATCTTAACCAGTTTGATCATGAGGTAAGATTCTTGTAAATCTTTTATAACACTTTACAAATTTTTGTTAAAGAGCAGATCAGTGCCCTAAGAAATCCTTGTTTTATTCTTTTATTTTAATGTTCAATTTAGGGAAAAACCATATAATACTCTTTTGAATTTAGTCAATAGGTTCACATACAAAATTTCTTTTGCAAGATTAATTTTTACAAACTTTCCACAACTTGTTTAAACCTTCAGCTTTATCTTTATCCGGTTTAAAACAATCCTTTAACCCTCTGAACTAGGCAAAAATTTACATTCCCATGCTTTCTTATAATCTTGTACTAAAAACACATTTTACTTTCCTTGCACACCTTGCATGTAAATCTATGTTCAGTAGTCTCAATTACATATTATAATGGTAACCCTTAGCAATTTTTAATTTTAATGTAAAGCATGGTAAGTTATTTTAATTATGTACTAGGCACAGACAGGGTCTAACTCTTTCCAGCACAGTTAGGGACATTTTGAATTCCCTATGTCCCCAGGTCTTACCAAACCATAAAGCAAGCAAGTTGAACAACTTTCAAAAGCCAAAGAAGCAGTTTATAACCTTAAAGCATTTAACAAGCCCAGTATCTGACCTACATAATTTAGACCACATATTTACATTTTGAAGACATTTGTATTTTACTAATAATCTTTAAAAGTGTTTTTATTTCTCAAAAATTAAAGTCACATGAACTAAAAGCATTACAGTTTTTCTTTTTTGCATCAAAAAATATTTAATCTAAGCATGTGTTCTTCTCTAAGCCAATTAATTAGAGCTTCTTTTTTATATAAACATCACACACATAACACATATATAACTACACAGACAGACAGAAGATCCAGTAGTTGTAAGATTTTTCACTGGCCAATCTCCTAATTAGATTATTGGCCTCGGGGTGGAGCCCTTCAACAAACAGGGTAAGAAAACATGCAGTTTCTATGGCCTAATAAGCGGATATAGCTAAAAGACAAAAACATATTTTGAGAGGGATTTAGTCACTTTTAATTCTTGGGGATCCGTGAGGAAAGCAGAAGTTTTTTTCCAAAACAGGGTCAATGGTGCCTCCTCTGCTTTTTCCAGGGAGTCCCAGGCCATCAGAAGTTATCTTAGGGCCTCTCATGCGTGCATAAAGAGTAGCAAGACAAAATTGAGAAAAATAATGCAGTTGGCTGAGAAGAACAAAACTCTTTTTCAGTGAAACAAGATCCAAGAAGAGAAAAACATAAAACCCTTTTAAATATACCTATAGCATGGCTATCCACTTTTAATTAAGCTGACTTTTAACCATAGCACTCTTTAAGAAAATCCTTTTAAATCTCTTGTTACCTGACTTTAGCCATACCAAGTGGCCAATATTTCTGGCTTTTGAACTTTACCAAAAGTAACCTCTCAGGTGAAACCAACAAACCTTAACTAAGGTATGATTTAACAGTGAGTGTACAAGGTATTTTCAAAGAGCTGGTAAGCAGTTTTTACAAAATCTAGAATCTTTAAAGGTAGTTCAGAGAAAGGAAGATTTAAGAACGGAAGCTGGAAGCTAAGGGAGGCAAAGAGAATCAGCAAATTGTAAAAGCAACACAGATATCAGCCAGAAAGTACTCATTCCCTAAGCCAGGATTGAACCTGAGCCACAATTGTAAAATGGCAGGCACCAAAAGAAAGTACTGCCACATGGTTACATGGTCAAGCTCCCAAGGACATAAAAAAAGATGGAGACCTCATTCAGTTTTTTTCCCTTCAGAGACCTGTAGCAAAGTTTGTTACTGACCAGCTTGCTGGGATAGTTTCAAAAGTGGGATTATGGGGTCCTAGACCTGCATTCTATCCTAAGGTACCCCTCTTTCTAATAGAAAGACATAGAAAGATAAATTCTTAGCACAAAGTACAACAGATTTGTTACAGGTTAAGTCTAGCCTCACACATCCTTTTTTCCCATTAATCAAAAGTTTACAGAGGATATAAACAGTGATTTTTATCATTCATTCTACCAGTTTGCACAGGGAGAGGAAGGCCAGAAGTCTGGCTAGTTTAAAAAAAAAAAAAAAAACAAAAACCTTTTACCCTTTTGCCAGTATGTCAGGCTTCTGGGCTCCCTTCCCTTAGCTGTGGAGCCCTTTTGTGACTCTGGAGTCTTGTAAAGGGGGAGCAGACAAAGAGGTTATTTGCATACTAAAAAACTTGTCCCTCCTAAATAGATTTGCTCAGTTAGGCCTGTAATTTTTTCCTGGCTCATTTTTAAGCCAAAAAGTTTAAGATATGGGAAAATTAACTTTTCCCAGTTTGGGGGATGCAACCGAGAGGAGTGTCCTGTTGTATGGAGAGTAGCTGAAAATGGTTGGTTACCCATCTGGAAAGAGGGGAAACGGTGTCCTTTAGTGCCTTTTTTCCCCAAGCAAATACCCAGGGCATATGAGGGAGAGAAAGAAAAAGTGTCTTCTTTCTTCTGTCTTTGTATCCCTGAGTCCCAGCAAACTCCACAGGGTGCTACCCATGGGTGCCAATGTGACTTTCACCCATGTGGAATAGGGCGTCCTAGAGAGTAAGAATTATCTGCACTCACCTACACATTTTCTATTCTCCCTGCTGTTGGTAACCTCATCTATGCCATGGATGCTAGCATGACCTCCATCCATGAAATGGTGGGGGGCCTCGTTGGCAGGAATTAGTCATGCTCACCTGTGCTGTGTCCCTTGAATTCCATTGCCATCTGCCTCTGGATCCCTCAGATCCAGTTTTCCTTTCTAGGGCTTTAACCTGAAGCTTGGAATTGAGTTTGGGACAAATAACTGCCTCAGGAGGGTGCATGGACTCACTAAATTAAGTCCCAGGTGGCCCTTGCTAAACTGCAGACAGCAGCCAGTGGGGCTGCTCCTTTGCTGCCTCTTTATCATAAGCTGAATGCTAAGGTAAAGCTGTAGAACTGGGTCCTCCTCAAACAAGGGAGAGAAAGGGGGACCTGGCCCTTCAAAAGGAAAAAAGATGCCTTTCAAAAGGAAAAAAGAAAAACTCTCACATAGAAAAGCTCCCCATATTTGCAGGGCTATGTTAACTTCTGACATGGTAGAGAAAAAGAAAAACACAACCTAAGTGTGGGGGTGGGGTAGGTGCTTGTGGGAAAAAGCCTCTCACTGTATGCAAATGAGTTTCTTCTATAGGAAAAAAAAACTCTTAAACACTGTACCCTTTTTGCCTCTAAGAACAGACAGAAAACACATTGTTCTGAATTACATTTTTGATGACTGGGCCAAGCACCCATTCTAGTCAGTAATATCTCTGTAGTTTGCAACAACACTCTTAACATTGTAAAAGACAAGATAGGTACCATGACAGCCCCCAAAACAAGAAGGAAAATATCACAGAAAGGAGTAAGACTGATATTTCCAGCTCCCAAGAGTGACAGAAGGGTCCCCTCCAGCATCTTGTCCTGTGTAGTTGTACCATTCATTCTTAACTAGCTAATCAGAGGTTCAGTGCTTCATCTGCCTTCAGAAAAAAGTCTGAGGACAAGAAGCCTCAGAAAAAGTGAAGCATCTTGGTTCGCATTCACTCACCCTTCAGGGATCCTGGGCAAGCCTCCAAAATGACACAGGATTTTTCTTGGCCCCTTTGCCAGACTCACAGCAGGGGTGCCTTATCTACTTGGCCTACCATGCTCACCTTCTTGCAGAAGGGAGCACATGAGCGAGCAAGGCAGGATCCGGCCAGCCACTCTGAGCACTGACACAGGAGCAAGCTCCACGTGGGTCCCACAGCCAGACCAGGCATGTCACCTTGAGGGCAATACAGTGGCATCCAGACATGGGTGCTCACGATTTTGAAGCCCCATAGTGGGTGTTAGTGTGCTAATTAGCTCTTTTAGTTCTGCCGTCCACAGCCCAATGGACGGTGACATGTTAGCAGCTCAGTTGGCCCCTGGATCAATTGCATGGAGCAGCTGCCCTCTGGCAAGGGCAAAGGGCCAGTGTGACAGCCTTTCTGGGTACCCACACTAGGTGGGTCTTGAGCTCCTGCCCAGCATCCAAGAATGAAGTCATGCTGATGGGTGAAGAAGAATTTTATTGAGTGATGGAACAGCTCTCAGTGGAGAGGGGATGTTGGGGGAGGTACCCCACCCCTGCAGTCAGGTGGGTTTTTTGCCTCTCAATGTGGCTGGGTCTGGGGCTTTTTATAGACTCACAACAGGGAGTGTATGCTGATTGGTTTGTGAGCATGCAAGAAAATTTAAAGCAAAGACACCACTCAAAGGTGGGCACAACAGTGTAGAAAACCAATTAGGAAAGGGTAGGTATATGTAAAATAGGTGAAGGGTGTGGATCAGAGGAAAGCATGCCAAAAGGAAAGACACGTTCTCAATCAGTCCATGGATTTAACTTGTAGCTTGGCTTTCAGGCTTTAAACTGTCTTCAGCTTGGAGGTGAGGATTCACTGAGGACCTGCTCTTATCTGCCTAGGCATTTGACTGCCTCCTGTCACTATCAATAATAAAGCAGTCAATTCAGCAAGAGGATATAACAATTTTAAATATATGTGCACCCAACACTGGATCACCCAGATACATAAAGCAAATATTATTAGAGCTAGAGAGCAAGACAGGCCTCAATACAATAATAACTAAAGACTGCAACACTCCACTTTCAGCATTGGAAAGCCCTTCCAGACAGAAAACCAACAAAGAAACACTGGACTTAATCTGCACTATAGACCAAATGGACCTAATAGATATTTATGGAACATTTTATCCAATGTCTGAAAAAATACACATTCTTTTCCTCAGCACATGGATCATCCTCAAGGACAAATCCTTGAGAGTGTTGGGTCACAAAACAGGTCAAAACATTCAACAAAATTGAAATAATATCAAGCATTTTCACTGACCACAATGCAACAACAAGAGGAGAAATCAACAACAGGAGGAGTTTTGGAAACTATACAAATACATGGAAATTCAACAATGTGCTCCTGAATGACCAGTGGGGTCAATGAAGAAGTTGAAAAGAAAATTGAAAATTTTCTTGAAACAAATCATAGAGGAAACACAACATACCAAAGCCTGTGAGATACAGCAAAAGCAGTACTAAGAGGGAAGTTTATAGTTATAAGTGCCTACTTCAAAAAAGAAGACAAACTTCAGATAAACAATAGAATGATACACCTTAAAGAGCTAGAAAAGCAAGAGCAAACCAAATCAAAAAATAGAAGAAAATAAATATTAATAATAAAGATTAGAGCAGAAATAAGTGAAATTGAAATGAAGGAAATGATACAAAAGATCAATGAAAAAAAAGTTGATTTTTTTGAAAAGTTAAACAAAATTGACAAACATTTAGCCAGACTAATAAAGAAAAAAAGAGAGAACATCCAAAATCAGAAAAGAAAAAGGAGACATTACAACTGATTTCACAGAAATTCAAAGGACCACTACCGTCTACTATGAGCAATTATATGCCAATAAATTGGAAAGTCCAGAAGAAATGGACAAATTCCTACACAGCTTACACAACCTACCTACCATGGTTGAATTTCTTCATGGCTGAGTTTTTTCAAGCATGAGGAAATCCAAAACCTAAACATACCAATAACAAGTAACAAGATAGAAGCCATAACAAAAAGTCTCCCAGTAAAGAAAAGCCTGGGATCTAATGGCTTCACTGCTGAATTCTACCAAACAATTAAAGAAGAACTAATACCAATTCTACTCAAACTATTTCAAAAAATAGATAAGTAGGGAATACTTCCAAACTTATTATACGAGGGCAGTATTACCCTAATACAAAAACCAGACAAAGATACACCATAAAAAGAAATCTACAGGCCATATCCCCAATGACTATTGATGTAAAAATTCTCAACAAAATACTAGCAAACTGAATTCAAGAATATATTAAAAAGATCATTCATCATGACCAAGTGGCATTTATCCCACAGATGCAAGGATGGTTCAACATATGCAAATTAATCAATGTGATATATCATATCAACAGAATGAAGGACAAAAACCATATGATCATTTCAATTGATGCAGAAAAAGCATTCCATAAAATTCAACATCCCTTCATGATAAATTCACTTGAAAAACTGGGCATAGAAGAAACATACCTCACCGTAATAAAAGCCATCAATGACAGACTTACCACTAGTATCATACTGAATAGGGAAAAACTGAAAGCCTTTCCTCTAAGATCTAGAACACAACAAGAATGCCCACTTTCACCACTGTTATTCAACATACTACTGAAAGTCCTAGCTAGAGCCATTAGAAAAAAAGAAATGTAGGACATCCAAATTGAAAAGGAAGAAGTCAAATTATCCTTGTTTGCAGATGATATAACCTTATATTTGGAAATACCTAAAGACTCCATCGAAAAATTGTTAGAACTGATAAACAAATTCAGTAAAGTTGCAGGATACAAAATCAACATACAAAAATCAGTAGCGTTTCTATATCCCAATAGTGAACAATCTGAAAAATAAATTTTAAAAGTAATCCAATTTGTGATAGCCACACATAAAATTAAATACCTAGAATTAACCAAAGAAGTGAAAGATACCAACAATGAATAAAAAACACAAATGAAATAAATTAAGGAAGACACAAAAAATGGAAAGATATTCCATGTTCACACATTGGAAGAATCAATATTGTTAAAATGTCCACACTACCCAAAGCAATCTACGGATTAAGTGCAAATCCCTTACAAAATACCAATGACGTTCTTCATATAAACACAAACAAACAATTCTAAAATTTACATAGAGCCACAAAAGACCCAGAATAACCAAAAGTATCCTAAACAAAAAGAATAAAACTGGAAAACTTACATTACCTAACTAAAAAATATACTACAGAGCTATAGTAACAAAAAGAGCATGGTACTGGCATAAACACAGACTCATAGATCAATGGAACAGAATAGAGAACACAGAAACAAATTCACACACCTACAGTGAACTTGGTACAAAGGTACCTAGAATACATGCTGGGGAAAAGATAGTCTCTTCAATAAATGGCACTGAGAAAATTGGATATCCATATGCAGAAGAATGAAACTTAGACCCCTATCTCTCACCATATACAAAAATAAAATCAAAATGGACTAAAGACTTAAATCTAAGACCTTAAATGGTGAAACTAGTACAAGAAAACATTGGGGAAAATCTCTAAGACATTAGTCTTGGCAAAAGTATCTTGAGCAATACCTCATGAGTACAGGCAACCAAAGCAAAAATGAACAAATGGAATCACATCAGATTAAAAAGCTTCTGAACAGCAAAGGATACAATCAACAAAGTGAGGAGACAACCCACAGAATGCGAGAAAATATTTGCAAACTACCCATCTGACAAGAGATTAATAACCAGAATATATAAGGAGCTCAAGTAACTCTACAGTAAATAGCCTAATAATCCAATCAAAAGATGGGCAAAAGATTTGAATAGACATTTCTCAAAAGAATACATACAAATGGCAAATAGGCATATGAAAATGTGCTCAACATCACTGATCATCAGAAAAATGGAAATCAAAAATACAGTGAGATATAATCTGTCCCCAGTTGAAATGGCTTATATCCAAAAGACAGGCAATAACAAATGCTGGCAAGGATGTGAAGAAAAGTGAACCCTATACACTGCTGGTGGGAATGTAAATTAGTACAACCACTATGGAGAACAGTTTGGAGGCTCCTCAAAAAGCTAAAAATTGAGCTACCATGTGATTCAGCTATCCCACTGCTGGGTAAAAACTCAAAAGAAAGGAAATCATTCTATCAAACAGATAGCTGCACTCCTATGTTTGTTGCAGCACTGTTTACAATAGCCAAGATTTGGAAGCAACCTAAGTGTGCATCAACAGATGAATGAATAAAGAAAATGTGGTAAATATACACAATGGAGTACTTACTATTCAGCTGTAAGAAGAATGAGATTCTGTCATTTGCCACAACATGGATAGAACAGGAAGCCATTATGTTAAGGGAAATAAGCCATGCATAGAAAGACAAACATCACATGTACTCACTTACTTTTGATATCTAAAAATCAAAACAATTGAACTCATGGAGATAAAGACTAGAAGGATGGTTACCAGAGGCTAGACAAAGTAGTGGGCTGCTGGGCGGGGTGGGGGGAGATAGGGATGTTTAATGGGTATAAAAAATAGAATAAATAAGAACTCGTATTTGATAGCACAACAGGGTGACTATAGTCAATAACAATTTAATTGTACATTTTTAAATAACTAAAAGAGTATAAATGGATTGTTTGTAACACAAAGAATAAATGTGTGAGGGGATGGATACCCTATTTTCCATGATGTGGTTATTAAACATTGTCTGCCTATATCACAACATCACATTTGCTCCATAAGTATATACACCTACTATGTAGCCACAAAAATTAAAAATAAAAAAATTGTAAAAATGAGAAGAAGTAGTGTGGACACTACCACTTCTTCTACCTCCACGAAGCTGGGGACTGGAACTTTAGAGCAATCCGTAGGAGTGTCACAGGTTTCTACAACCTTCTTGCAGGAAAATTTTACTTACATTTCACCTCTAACTTTCTAAATATTATATGTGACAAATTGTATGATTGATATAACTGAATTCACATCCTAAACTCTGCCACAGAGAAATCTGGGAAATGTAGTTTTTAGTTTTTCAACCTCTCCAATGAGAAGACTGCTGAAATGGAGGCTGAGAGGCCCAATCCAGAGCATTCAGCACAGGTATTATTATCCCCATTTTGCAGAAGAATTCTGCAAGATGAGAGTCAAAGAGTGCAGGTAACTTAAACAAGTCCATACTTACTAAGTGGAAGAATTGGGATTTGAAAATAGATGTCTAACTCATATTTATTTTACTCTACCACTCTAATATTCACATACCTGGGCAATTCATTTTTTCAAAAGTCCTTATATTGTGAACCTGGAGTAACTGCTGAAGTCCAGTTACAATCCTCTGTGGAGTCTTACATCTTCCTGGTATCACTACACATGTGCAGGATCCAGGAATGCAGAGGAGGAAAGAGGAATGAATATACTAATACCAGTCGTTATAACAATGCTATGCCTCCTCCATGGATTCACTCATTTATGCTGAACTCCACAGGTGTATCTCTGACTTCTCTATCTGATATCTACTCTTTCCCATCCTTCTGAGTCTCAATCCCTGAGAGTGTTTTCAGTCATTCCATTCCCTGTATATTCCTTCCAGCCTCTGTGAAACTTACATACTGATTTCAGCTTAAGCTTCTGGATGTGTGTTATTCACATACTCCTCCTGTGAATGACTGGCCTCCCATTGTCATGATAACTTTCTTGGCCCTTGTTCTTCTCTGACTGAGAGTCACCTATGACCATAGATGACATCAGTAGTATCTGAACAAATTAGGTCAGAGATAGGCTAGGCCAAATCTACCTACCCTATTAGCCATGGAAGGAGTTTGAATTTTATTCTAAACGTGTTAAGAATTCATTAGAGGGGAGTGTCATGATATGACTATGTGTTAAAAGACCATTCAGGTTGCTGTATACAGAAAAAACCATATGTGGGGTGTGTGTGTGTGTGTGTGTGTGTGTGTGTGTGTGTGTGTGTAAAAATAGAAATACAGAGACCTGTTAAGATGCCACCCTGATAAGAAATGATGATGGTGTATGCAGTGGGTTTAAAGGTGGTCGTCCCAATGATATGTCTACATCCTAACTCCTGGAACTTGTGACTGTGACTTTATTTGGAAATTAAGTCTTTACAGATGTAATCAAGTTAAGGATCTCAAGGTGAGGTAATCCTGGATTATCCTGATGGGCCCTAAATCTAATGACAAGTGTCCTTATAAGAGATGGAAGACAAAGAGATAGTGGAGAAAGCCATGTGAAGGTTGGAGCAGACAATTATGTAATGGAGCTACAACCAAGGGATGTTTAGGCCCACCGAAGCTGGAAGAAGCAGGGAGGAAGTCCTCCCTAGATCTTTCAGAGAGAGAATGTAGCCCTACCAACATCTTTTTTTCAGACATCTATCCTCCAGAACTGTTTGAGAACAAATTTCTGTTGTTTTAACCCACCCAGTTTGTAGTAATTTGTTATGGCAACCCTAGGAAACTAATAAAGTATATTATTTATCTATTGTTAAATAACAAATTATCCCCAAAATTTAAAGCTTAAAATAATAAACATTTATTATCTCACATATTTATATTCCAGAAGTCACTTAGCTGAGTAATTCTGGTTCAGGGTTTCTCATGAAGCTACAGCCAAGGTGTCAGCCAGGGCTGACATTATCTGAAGGCTTGACTTGGGCTGATGGATCCACTTCCAGGATGGGTCACTCACATGGCTGTTGACAGAAAGTCTCAGTTCCTCACCACTTGGATTTCTCCAAAGGGCACCTGCACATCGTTCTGACATGGCAGCTGGTTTTCCCCAGAACAAGCGATTTCACAGCCCTCTCTTCCACCACATTGCATCCATTAGAAATGAATCACTAAGTATAACTCACATTCAAGAGCATGAGAATTAAAATCCAAATTTTGAAGGGAGAGAAGCAAATAATTTTCAAATTTGAAAACAACCACAGTGGCACAGAATAAGATGGTTAACAGTGGAGATTAGGGTGAATAAAAAGATTTGGAATATATTTTGAAGACATAGTTGAATAATTGTAAGTGAGGTATGAAAGAAAGAAGAGTTAAAATGCCTCCAAAAATTTGACCTGAACAACCAGATAAATGGCAATATCATTTAATGGGAGATGAAGGGGTTTGGAAAATGGTGGTTGATCAAGTTCTGCCCTGGACCTGTTAAATTTATGATGTTTATTAAATATTCAAGCTGACCTTTTGAGTAGACAGATTTACAAGTCTGGAAGTAAGGGAAGATGTCAAGACTTGAGATATAAATTTAGGAGTTACCAGCATACAGATGATATTTAAAATCATGCCATTATTTGAGATCACTTGGAAAATGAAAAAAAAAGAAATCTTAAGATTGAATTCTGGGGGACTCCAGGATTTAATAGCAGGAGCATAAAAAGAAACTAACAAGCAGTAGCCAGAGAGGTAAGAGAAAAAACAGAGTGTGGTATTCCAAAATCAAAGTGAAGACATGGTTTTGAGAAAAAAGAAGTGTTGTTGAGAGTTGAGTAAGTTAAGGAAAGAGAATTGACTCTTGATGATAGCAAGATGGAATGGAGGTGGTGGAGGACAGAATGGGAAGTGAAGATGTGGAGAAAAAAAGCATAGACAAGCCTTTCTAGGAGAGTTGCTTTTAAGGAAGCCACAGACATGGAACATAAACTAGAATTGGTGTAGGGGCAAGGAGAGTTTCTAACAGGAGAGATCCTTGTATGGAAGCAGGGGCTGCTCACCCTGGGGCAGAAAGTAGGCTCCTGCAGATTGGTTGGTGGATCTGGTGGTGATAAGATGAGGCAGTTCTCTTTGTATTGCTTCTGTTTTCTCACTCAAATAAGAGGTGATATCATCAGTGGAGAGTAGGCAGAGGGTTAGGGGTAGAGGTTTGCCAAGGGGAGGAGATGAGGACAAGTTGACTCAGAGTAGGAGAGCAATTGATGAGGGAAATGAAATAGAGTGAATGGGGCCCATTTGAAATGTGTGGACATCAATTTAGAGCAAGATCAGTCTGCAGGATAGTGTAAAAACTCGGAGAAAGCCAAATGTCAGATTTACCCAGGGCTGAGGGTTTGCCAGATAAGTGAATGGGGTGAGGGGGACATAGCAAGAGAATTACCAGTGTGAGCAAGGAACTATTATATTTACAGTGTTATTGACAGTTCATGGAACCATGTAAGATAAGGAGGGAAGTGAGCCCATGAGGGGAGATGGGAGGATGAAAAGCAGAAAAGTGGTGGAGTCAGTGGATCTTGATATGGTCAGAGAATTGTGCTAGTGGGTTTTTTGAGGTAGGTCAGAGGTAAGTTTTTGGAAGAAAATTAACTTTTGTGATGATAAATTTTGTTTGATTTAGGATATTCTAGGACAAGGGTCAGAAAACCACAGCCTGCAAACCAAATCTTGACCTCCTTCTGTTTTCGTAAATAAAATTTTATTGGAATATAGAGCCATGCTCATTAATTAATGTATTGTCTATGCATTCTTTAGTGATACAAAGACAGAGTTGAATATCTCCCACTGTATGGGCAGCAAAGTCAAAAAAATTTGCTCTCTGGCCCTTTGCAGAAAATGTTTGCTGACCCAATGGCCCTTCCCACACAAATCCCTATAAATTAAATCAGCCCCCAGCCTTCCTCACCACCCCCATCATACCAGGGGTTTTGGTGTGTCTACTTTGCAGGTGCCTCAAGCATGTGTTTTATCTGCCTGTTGGAGTAATCCATCCAGGTGTTCTGCTAACATCAGCAGGCAAGCCCTCTGCCCCCTCTGATGTAGAACACAGCACTGACTGTAATCCCAGCTACTTTGGGAGGATTGCTTGAGACCAGGAGTTCAAGACCAGCCTGGAAAACAAAGCAAGACCCTGTAACTAAAAATAAAAAATAAAAAGAAGATAGAACAAAAGCACAGCTTTGTCAGTGCCAGGATAAGGATGAGGTAGGAGAAACACTTGCCTTGGGCCTAAAATTTGAGGGAGTGCCCCCAAAATTCAGTAATTAAGACAAAAATTATTTTAATGCAATTTTTTTTGAAAAACAAAATCAATGGAAAAAAATCCAGGATAAACAAAATATCAGAATTTAAAAATAAAGACAGGATCCAACAAGGGCCATGCCAAGCCTTATTTTTTAATGATTGATATTTTTCCGGAAGTAAATTTTAGAGATACTATTGATGTTTTTGCTTCCATCAGAGGTAGGAAAGTCAAATTATAATAAATAGATTCTTTTATGGAATACAAATAAAATATTTAAATTTGCAATAATGTTGTAAGTTGTAATATATTTGCCAATCAATTTTTCAATATTTTTCAACTTCTTTAGTATTCTAAAATATAATATCATTAAAAGACAGATGAGAACATGTTGATAGGGGTGCACATTGTTTCTTTAGCTCCAGGCACCCATAAGTCTCTGCATGGTGCTGGCTTTGGTATATGGGGATTAATGTAACTCAGCTGCAGCAGGGGTGACAGAGATGGAGGGGACAGGTCCAAAGGCCCCAGAAGCCATGGCTGCGGCTCTTTAAAGCCCTTCTTAGGCCAAGGGGGCTCCAGCCACAGAAAGCAGTGAGTGAAATCAGATGAGGAAAAGAAGAAACAGGTAGAAATTAGAGTCACAGAAAGGACAGGCAAGAAACCTGCAGGGCTGGGTGAGTGCTTTTCAGGAGGCTCATGATCCAGTGTTGGGAAGTGAGAACAAAAGCCAGCAAAACAGGTTTCACGTCACTAAGCAATTTGCTGTGGTAAGACAGCAATTAGAACAGCCCACACACACCCAGCCTGGGTCTGATTTCCTGTCAAGGGTAGGTGGTGTGCTTCCTTCAAACCAGTCATTTTCTTCTCTAATGCCCTGCTCTGCAGGTGGAAAAAGATCAGGATGGCTTAAGTTTCAGGAGCTTTTCTCCCTACCCTTTCTCCAACACTTTCCCTTCCTACAAATTCCCACCACTCCAGGATTTCTTCTCTCCTTTCATTGTAACCCTTCTCTGTTCTCCATATCTGCACCCTTTCTTCTGTCTGTGGGAAAAATGGCAATAGAGTGGGGGCCAATGTATGACTTTAACTAACGTACCAATAAATTGGATCCTTACATTTAATTCTTTAACAGATTTTCCATCCTCTAAGCTTTGAAAAGCATTTGGAAATGGGAAGTGGAGGTCATTGTAGAAATTTAAGAATAAGACTCTTATTTACAAAAACTGCTTTAAAGGAAGGAAGATGATACGTGTTTACCAGCTTTGGGCATTGACTACTGATACAGTTTGGCTGTGTCCCCACCCAAATCTCATCTTGAATTGTAGCGCCCCCAATTCCCACGTGTAATGGGAGGGACCTGGTGGGAGGTAATTGAATCATGGGGGTGAGTCTTTCCCATGTTGTTTTCATGATAGTGAATAAGTCTCAAGAAATTTGATGGTTTTATAAAGGGGAGTTTCCCTGCACAAGCTCTCTTCTCTTGTCCGCTGCCATGTGAGATGTGACTTTCACCTTCTTCCATGATTGTGAGGCCTCCCCAGCCACATGAACTGTGAGTCCATTAAACTTCTTTCTTTTGTAAATTGCCCAGTCTCGGGTATGTCTTTATCAGCAGCATGAAAACAGACTAATACAACTACTACACCCTCAGTACATCAACATTTCATTCCTGTACAAATATAATCCAAGAATTCTCTGAGAATTTCCTTGCAGTCATCAAGGGAGGAAGCCCTAGAAGGAGAGATGAAACCTCTTGATACTCAGCAGAATGGTGAGATTAGACTTTGCCACCATAAATATTAGATACTTTCCAAACACGCTATTTGAAATGGGAACTGATAACATACATTCGAAAGAGGTTACATATTTGCCCAACAAATATTAAATATCTATAAAAATTCACAGTATTTGTCCAAGAGAGTAACATATTGAAGCTCTATGAAAGAGTCAGTTGTTTTTTCCAGGGCATCCAATGATGAAGGTCTCTATAAGAGTGAAAGTGTGTGTCCAGAGGAATAAAACATTAAGGCGCTCAGTTGGTTGAGATTTTTCTTTTTTCTTTTTTTTTTTTAGATGGGGTCTCGCTCTGTTGCCCAGACCGGAGTGCAGTGGCGCCATCGTGGCTCACTGCAAGCTCTGCCTCTTGGGTTCACGCCACTCTCCTGCCTCAGCCTCCGGAGTAGCTGGGACTACAGGCGCCTGCCACCACGCCCGGCTAATTTTTTGTATTTTTAGTAGAGACGGGGTTTCACCATATTGGCCAGGTGGATCTCGATCTCCTGACCTCATGATCCGCCCGTCTAGGCCTCCCAAAGTGCTGGCCACCGTGCCCAGCGGAGATTTTTATCTTTTATAATTAACGACTGGCATGGGAAAATTGTTGGGTTATTTTGGGGGATTTTTTTGGCTTTGTTTGTTGTTGTTGTTTTGTTGGCAAATTGAAATGTAAGGTCATGCCCCACATGTACCACATTTAAGTGTGTAACTCTAACTCATTTACCAAGAAACCTGTAAGTCCAGATGTGAATTAGGTTGAAAGCAAGAGAAGACTCTGCAATTAATCCAATTAGTGAAAGCTGTCCAGCCACTTGGATATAATCTGGAAGATTTAGTGATGCATACTGTGTTTGTGGCAGATAAGGACACTGTATGGAATCTCTGGCTAACCCTAGTAGTAGTACAAACCTCTAAGGTTTTAAAGCAAAGCCATGTGATCCTCTTCAAATAATCCTTTGAGAAACAGCTTCTGGCTTACTGCTGAGCTCTAGTTGAGACTGAATGCCTGACCACAGAACCCAATGTCATTCAGTCACTGCTGCTCATTAGTAGCTGGATATTATCTGAAGCCCAGGTTATAGCAGTGGACATCCAGAGCAGCATACCATAAATGAGTAGAAAGCTGGATGAACAGCTGGCTCAGTCTCCAGCAGCACCTGCTCCCACTAGATGGCTGCTGCAATTGTCATCATATCTGATTAAGTTTTTAAAAACGCACAGTCATTCTGCAAGACCCATCTGTCTTCTGGCCAGGTCAATAGGCACAATAAGAGGGGATATGGGAGGAATCACCATCCCTGCATCTTTCAAGTCTTTGGCTGGGGCACTGACTCTTGTAGTTCATCAGGTGTATGACATTCACTTTGGTTTACCATCCCAGGGACTTTTGCTTGAATCTTTCTACCTTAGTAGTCCTCAGTCCATAAATCAGGGACTCAACATAATAATTCTGCCAGTTACCCGTAGATCAATTCCAATCATGCATTCAAAAACGTTGGAAGTAATGCTGAGGAAGACTCGAAGACTTTGTAGACCCACCGTGAGACGGATTTAGACCAAAACTCCGTCTGTCTTCCACCTCCACAAGCCCCCACTCTTGCAGATCATGGATGCATGGATATTATTTCAGGTCACCAGAGATTAACATTAATTCAAATGTATTATCTACAATTACTAAAGATATTGTATTTCCCTTTCTTCAAGTCATTGTCATCCCGATATGTCGATGCAGGTCCTTCGGGGGAATCTTGCAGGAATATTTACACTATAGAACTGTGGTGGTGTCGCGAGCACCTCCTCAAGGAGGTTCCATCTCTCCTTCACTCAAAAGACTTTAAGTTTTTGAATTAGCTTGCCAGAGATTAGGGTGATAGGACACAACTCTACTGTGGTGACAAACTGACAATATCAATTCCTGTTGTCCAGGTCGCAAATATTTCTGATTGTAAGTACTACTCCGACTGGTTGCCCATCTACAAATCCTAAAGACACTGACCAAATAGCCACATTGGGTCACATTGGGTCACAGCATTCTGATTCCTGCTCCACCATTCTAACCATTTCAGTAACTGACCCAGTGTCCCTGGTACTTAAGTGCTGCCACATGGTCTCAGCCACTCTGGGGTGTCCCATAATAGTGGCATCTATCACTTTCACTTGCAGCTGGCAGGAGACAGACACCACAGAGCTTTATGGAATGATTATGCTTCTCTTGTCAATGCATTTCTTTTTCTTTCCTTTTTTTTTTTTTTTTTTGGACAGAGTCTTGCTCTGTTGCCCAGGCTGGAGTGCAGTGGTGCTATCTTGGCTCACTGCAACTTCTGCCTCCTGGGTTCAAATGATTATACTGCCTTAGGCTCCTGAGTAGTGGGGATTACAGGTACACACCACCACACTCAGCTAATTTTTGTATTTTTAGTAGAGATGGAGTTTCTCCATGTTGGCCAGGCTGGTCTCAAACTCCTGGCCTCAGGTGATCCACCTGCCTCGGCCTCCCAAAGTGCTGGGATTACAGGTGTGAGCCACTGCACCCGGCCTGCATTTCTTAATACTCTAGGCCTTCTTGCAGACACAATGAAGGAAATTTCACTTGAGAAATTTATTTCAACATTCTTCTCCCTAAGCCTTTGGATTCTTTCCTTTCCATTGTACCAGAAAAGTTATGGCACCTTAACTTCATGGAATTAGGCTACAGTCAACTCCAGGTTTCAGTCAACTAAACAAACAAACTGACAGTAACCACTTCAGCCACTCAAAATAATGCATAGATTTCAAAAGTTCTAGCAATGGAATCCATTTCAATAAATGCAGTTTGATCCAACATTATGTGCTATCATCCTTGGTAGCTAGTACTGTATCAGTCAGGGTTTAGGCAGGAAAAGAAAACCATCTTAGGTATTTTAAGCACAAAGGAATTTAATACCATGGATATTATTTTAAAGTGTAAAAAAAGACTAGAGAAACAAAATGGAAAGAAGGAAAGAGAAGTACCACCACCCAGAGATCAAGTGCTGCAAGAAGCCACTGCCACCTGTGTTGGTTTTCTAAGGCTGCCATAACAAAGCTCTACAGACTGGGTGGCTTAAACAATAGAAATTTATTTTCTCACAGTCCTGATAGCCAGAAGTCTGAGATCAACGGTTGGTTTCTCCTAAGGTCGGTCTCCTTGACTTGTAGATGGTCTTTGTATCAGTCTGAGTTCTCCAGGGAAACAGAACCAATGGGATGGATGAAAAGTTTAATAGAGAGAGAAAAACAGAGATTACAAAGAATAGGCTCATGTGGCTGTGGAGGCTGAGAAGCCCTAAGATCTTCAGTCAGCAAGCTAGAGACCCAGAAAAGCAGACGGTCTTGTTCCAGTCCAAGTCCAAAGGTCCGAGAACTTATGCAACTGTGTTAGTTCCAGCCCACGTCTATGTCTGAAGGCAGGAGAAGACTGATGTCCCGGCTCAAAGACAGTCAAGCCAAGAGTGGATTCTCCTTTACTCCACCTTTTGCTCTACTCAGGCCTTCAGTGGATTGCATAAGGCCACCTACACTGGGCAGGGAAATCTGCTTTACTCAGTCTACTGATTCAAATGTTAATTTCATCCAGAAACACCTTTGCAGACACACCTAGAATAATATTTAACCAAATATCTGGGCACCCCATGATCCAGTCAAGGTGACACATGAAATTAACCATCAGAGCCATCTTTTCCTTGTATCTTCTCTTGGTCTTCCTTCTGTATACATCTGTGTCCAAATTTTCTCTTCTTATAAAGACATCAGTCATACTGAGGTAGGGCCCACTCTAGTGACCTCGTTTTAACTTAATCACCTCTTTAAAGACTCTGTCTCCAAATACAGTCACATTCTGACATAGCAGGGGTTACACCTCAATATGTGAACTTTGGGGGACACAATTTAGTCTATAACCCCTGAAGGAGGCCACAGAAATCTGCTTCACAACTCACTCTTTCTTACAGGAGACTGTGCTGGTCTGAGTTCCATCTCCACAGGAGTCTGCACAGCCATTCAAAGGCCCCTGGAATCCACACTCACTAGAGTCCAGGCTTCTCTCTCTCTCCATGCTGCTGTGCTCTCTCTACAGGAAACTATTACCTCTATTAATGCCACCAAGGTGCATGGGAGCCAACAGTCAGTGCTATCATAAGTGAGATCACAGCCCATGGCATTCTGGAGCCACCTCCATGGCCACCACGAGTGACTCTGCTGGAGACGCCATCACTGCCAAAAATGGGGTAGCTTCTTTCTCCTTGCTTGTAATCTTGCATGAGTGTCTCCCTTGGCGGAATGTTGCTGCAAGTCTACTGGCAACAGAATCTGACTTGCAGCCCCTGCAACACAGGAGAGAACATAGAAGGGCAGCCATGCATCTGAGCACCAACAGGGAGTGTCTGGCACAGAAGCTTTCCCAAAAACATTACATTTGAGCAGAAACCTGAAGAACAAAGGAGCAAGCTGAGCAAGGCACAAAACTAGAGCATTGCCAGCAGAGGGGCTAGCAGTTGCAAACCACTGAGGTGGAATCAGCCTTATTAGTTTAAGAAATCCAGAAGACTCAAACTAGTGTACCTGGAATGGAATGGATGAGGAATAGTAGTAAGAGATTAAATCAGAGAGATAGTTGGGGGACCAGACCACGAAAGACCTTGTAACTTGAGTGACAATATAACTTGCCATACAAACCAAAACATTTTGAGAAAGAGAATGAAGGAGGTGGTACTACTAATACTTATACTGGGACAACAGGCATAAAACAAATTATCCCAGACCAGTCAAGACATAACCACTCTACTTATAAGCCATTGTAAGGATTTCTTTTCTTTTAAGCTGAGTGACAAGGGAAGACATTGGAGGTTTTAACAACAGTGATGTGATCTGACTTACATTTTTAAAGAACCACTATGGGTTTTATGCTAAGAATGGGCTGTAAAGGGGCCAAGGGTCAGAGCAGTTAGAAGCTTACTGCAATCATCAAGGTAAATGGTCGTGGTGGCTGGAAGCGGGTGATAGCTGAGGAGGTGGTTAGCAGAGGGATTTGTTGATGAATAAGATACAGGGTACAGGAGGAGCAATTCTTAACACAAAAGCTAGAGTGGCCTGGGTCCATGAACCTCTTCTCTTCTCTCTCTACACTCATACCCATAGAGATATCACCCAATTTCATGGATTTCAATGCCATACATTTCTGTATATTTACCTCTGCTCATGATATCCAACTCGTATATAGTATCTCTAAGACTTGTAGATCCAACTGTCTTCCCAAATGTTTTACTCAAATAACTATATCAAAGTTATTCTACTTCAGACTGAACTTGTTTCTCTTCTACTTTTTCAAAAGATTCCCTCCTCTGATATTCCTCCATAACAGTAAATTGATAGTCTTTCAATCAATTGCTCAGGCCAAAAAAAGTCTTGACATAATCTTTGACTTCTCTCTTTTTCTCACATATAACACCCAACCCATCAGCAATAATATTAGCTCTACCTTAAAACATAATCTAAACCTAACCACTTTTTATGCTCTCCATCACTACCACCCTTGTACTTGCCACCACCCTGCCTCAACTACCACAGCCCTAGCTCTCTGGCTGATTTCCTTAGTTTTACATTTGAGCCCTGGTTTTCTATTGTCCACATGACAAGGAAAGGCATTCTTTCAAAACAAAAGTCGGGTCATGTCTGGTATCTTTCCACTCCCCCTCCTTACTGTATAGAACATATTGCCTTCTCCATCACTCACCATTGACATCTGGCTAAAGCAAGGAACAAAAAAACAAGGCTTCTAAACTCTTCAAAATTATCAAAGCATAAGCCTTGGCCTTCAGGAGGTTTGCAGAACTCCTTGGGCCCCAGATTTGATTATCAGACTTTTAAACAGAAATTTCTTAGCCTTTCATCTTCTTAGCCTTTGAACCCCACACCTCCCTTGCACCAGTTTCTCAACAGACCCCTGAATTGGTCATAATTCTCAAACTTTATGGCATGAAATATGATAAGATATACAAATATGTGATTATAGTCAGTTCTCCATAAATACTTTCTTGTTTCCTTCCCTACTCCCTTCCCCTAATATTTATTTACTTTTTCTTTCTTCTTATTTTATTCCCCATTTCTTCAGAGTCAACTTTGTGTACATTCACACAAAGGAGACCTTGTCCAAATAAAGTGAAAATTGAAGTACATGCCCAAGTTGTTTAGAGACTCTCAAACCTTACTTTTAATGATGTGAATGGAGACTCTCAGGTTAAAGCAGCAAACTGTGCTATTTGAGGCCAGCTTGATTCTTTGGCTTCTCTTGAGTTGAGGAGACCTAGTTGGTATTCCCCTACCTGTCCAGCCTAAGTTAATATAAGGTGACCAATTTCTTCTGTTGCTAAAAGAAATGAGATCTCTAAAATCGGTGGCTCAGAGAGGGGAATTCAGTGTGGAGCTGATTTCATTAGATAAGATACTTAAATTTCAGTGCCTGCAGAGAAACTCTATTTTGTTGAAATAGAAATGTATTTGGCTCACACCATATATTTATTTCTGTAATATGGCTTAGTACAGTGGAGAAGAGAAAAAAATACTATATGTGGACCTTTTAAAAGAAATCTATTCTTAAAATGTGCTCCTCATTTTATGATAGGAAACTGGGGAGCAGTAGGTAAACTTTGGTAAGGGAATGAAGACCTGAAGATATTAGGTTCCTGGAGACCTTTGTATCTAGAAAATATGATTGTAACTACAACCAGAAAGTTGCAAGCAGACATGGTTGCTGGGGTGATTTGCATCCTAGTTTTATCAAGGTGGAATCCTGATTACACCTATAAAATGTTATAAGGGAAATGAGAGATTAAACAGATCATCTACCCTTTAATAGCAGTTTTCTTCTTTTATAATCTATTCCTACATGTTATTCATTCCCTGATTTAAAAATATAGTACTTTTTTGTTTGGGGTTTTCAAAAACACAGTTTTCTGTTTTGTTCAGGCTCAGATTGTGTAGCCTTGGGGTCCCTGTTATAGGAAAGGCTGAGACTGCCAAACCATAATCAATGTTTCTAAAGCCTGGCACCATTTCTTCCCTGCAGGCACAGCTCAGGAACGTGATGAATCTCCAAGAAAGATGAATGACTGCTCAGTTTTCTCAGGGCTTGACTGCACTCCCACTAGAATAAGTCTGTAGTGTAGAACAGTGACACATAGTTCCTATCAAAACTAATGACCTGAAGAGCTTTATTCAGCAACAACTCATCTGACTCAAACAAATGAGCTGGACCAAGAGAGCAAAAATCACTGTGCATATGTGGGTGACTCAATAATTGAGCACCCATGGGGTTTTTCCATGGTCCTTGAACTAATATTTTCTAACTAAGCTCTCTTTCTAAACACTGTGTAAGTACAAACTAATCAGACAGCTTATTTTCCACTTTGGTAATTAACAACAGCAGGGGACACAGAGAGCTACCAGAGATACTAAAAGGAACCAGTCTTCAATCACGGGGAACTTGACTTTGTTTTCCTGTACTTAGAGGCTGATTTGGAGAAATGTAAAGTCCACACTTTCTATACTATCACAACATGTATCTATATTTTTGGTATATGTAATGAATAATTCTGCAACATTTAAAAAATCAGCATGTTAACTCTAAGGCACACCTTACTACACAGTCTGTGAGAATAACAAAAAAGCTAAGCATGCCCCTGAGACCCCAAAGTTGGGGAGCAGCTGTGGTCCCATACCAGTCACTGACATGGTCAACACAGGATCACAAAACATCAAAAAGGGAGTATGAATTCGCCTTGGGGCCACCAAGTTTTAGAGAGAAAATGAGTAACTCAAGGACATTTTCCTGGGGGGTCACACCAATATTTGGGAGGGAAATAGGAAGAGAAGTGGAGACTGAGAATTAATAGTCCAAGAAGTAGAAGGCAAACCAAGAGAGAGAAAAATGGGACACCAAAATAGAAGAAGGGGTTAAGGAGGAGTGATCAGGTGAGGGAACATGGTTTTCCAGACGAAGTGGTTCTCTAGCCCCACTTGAACTTTGAGATGGTTGTAGTTCCAACTGGCAGCTTTATTGCAAGCTTGTGAGAAACCCTGAGCCAGCACCACCCAGCTGAGTCTCTCCCAAATTTCTGATCCCCAGAAAATGTTTGTTATTGTAAATTGCTAAGTATTAGAGGTAATTAGTTACATAGCAATAGACACCTAATACAGCAACAGCCATTTCAGTAGAGCAATGGGGTGGAATCCAGGACACATTGGGCTAAATAGTGATTTAGAAAAGAGGAAATTGGAAAAGGAAATGTAGAATTCTTTCATAAATCTTGACTGTGAGGAATTTATGAGTAATGACAAAAATAGCAAGGATTTGGCACCGGGGAAAGAGTTTGATTGTTTTTGTTCTTTAATGGGAACCATATTTTTATTTTGAGAGGAAAAAGCCAATAGATAACAGGGTTTGAAGATAAAGATCCTGTGGGTATCTTGATGCTGATGCCATCACAGTGATGAGGAAGGGGATGGAGTGGTGCAGGTTACTGGAACAGTAGGAGGGGAAGAAGTGAAACCCTAATGGCTCCAGCATTTATAACTCTATCTCTTGCTGGCTCTAGGTCATTCTGTAAGCAAGCTATCTCTAAGTTGCCTAGTCTTTTCAAGTTTGAAGAACTCTTAGGTGCTCCTAACTGTCCAACCAGGGGCCTTGGATATCAAACTGTAAGACAGGAATGAACTCACAATATGGACACTTTGGTTATGTTTTAGGCATTTAATTTCATCTGATCAAAGCTAGAATTTCTTATGGTCTAAGAGCATAAGAGACACGCTGTTCTGGGGTGGTTTGCTACTGAAGGTGGAAGGACCCTATGGGAACTACAATTAAGTCCTTCAGTAAAAGTTATGGGCCCATGATTCCAATGCCATCAATTCGGATTTTAGGATAATTCCCTCCCAGCCTGAGCTTTGAATCTTTTCATGCTTTTGCTTAATGTTTTCCTCCACCTGGTATGCTAGGCTCTGCATGGTCAAATTGTAACCAGTTCAGAGCTCACACACTTCATTCTTTGTTTCCTAATGCTGCCTGCTGGTTTTGACATCTCTTTTCTCTGATTCCTGTAGTGTTTTCTTTGTGCCTCTTATTTTTTGTGTTGTGCCTTTTTTTTTAAGTCACTTATCTTCTTATAATAATGCCCCAGTTGCTCTATCAACACCTCTGACTCAGAGGCCAAGTTACATTGACCTCAGTATTCTTAATACTTGGCATAGCACCTAGCATATAATACTCTGTCTGAGACATCGTATATAAAATGCATTTGATGTAGTACCTGATGGATAGTAGGTTCTCCTTGAACTTCTGCCTTCCCTTTTGATTGGTTGGAAGGACGAATAACTGTTTGTATAGACGGATTTCTGAGCTGATCAATGGAGAAAGACACTCTGGCAGTTTTGCCTGTCCTTGAAGCACTCAAGTAAGTAAAATGCTGTATACCTTAGGAATATGTTACTTCATTTTTTCATATCTGTAGGGAACACTTGGGACTAAACAATTGCACTGAAGATTATTTTCAATAGTATTAAAAATTATTTTCTGACAGTTAGCTGTCATGATTGAGAACTGGTTTAAGGCACTCTAATTATGAAGATCCAGTATGTCTGCAGTTTCAGTTCCCGGTTTCAGAGACCCCTGTGGCTGGGCAAGTGTTCATACCATAACACAAAAAAGCTTTGGTTAAATTTCATCCTGTGAAACATGTATATTCATTATGTTGGTAGCCTTTCACTTTTCTCAGAAACAATTACTTGTGTTTATAATTTTGTTCTTATTCAGACAGATCTCATCTTTTAGCTTTGAAGTAGGGGAGAAAAGCACAGAGTACCTAGAAGTCCTGAGGTATAAAAGGAAGGGAAGGAAAACCTGTACTAATGAACACAAGCCTACTGTTATGAAGTGCCAACTCTACCACACACTTGGCGTCTACAATGTCACTTCGACCCTCATCCCAACACCATAAGGCAAATATTGTGATCCTTATTTTACAAATATAAAATCTAATGATGTTGAGTTATTTGCTCAAAGTTACACAGCTAAAAAGCAGCTCAGTTAGGATTTGAATCTTTGATATCTTACTTCAAAGCTTCAGCCTTTGCCACTATACCAGACTGTATTTGTAGCTCATGGATATGAGTAGAACACCTTCCCGGTACTTTTATTAGATTGCAGTATATTTACGGAGCCTTTGAAACTCAGTCTTTTTAAAAAACTGTCTCATAAATGTAGTTTTCTCATTTACTTTTTATGATGAACTATTTTTAACTTAGAGAAAACTATAGGGAATAACACAAGCTGTGTATCTACATACACATCGACAGCTTTAACAAAGTCTGATGATTTACCATTTTTGCTCCCAAAATGCGTCTCAAAAAAAAACAGCTAGATTGAGCCTTTCATCCCATAATAATTGTACATTCAGTATTCCTATTCCATGAATTGCCTATTCAAGTTCTTTGCCATTTTGGAATTATCATTTTGTAGGAGTTTTGGACATATGTATTGCAAATAGGTCCTTTCAGACTATGGCTTACATTTACCTTCTCTACAGTATTCTTTTTTCAACAGAAGCTTTATTTCTTTAAAGATAGTGTTATCAATGATATCCTTTCTTGTCAATTCTTAGTGATTCTTGAAAGAAATTCTTGCATATCTCTTTATTTAAAAGCCTTTTATTTTAGGTACATGTGAACGTTTGTTATATAGGTAATTTCATGTCATGGGGGTTTGTGGTACAGATTATTTCATCAACCAGGTATTAAGCTCAGTACCCAATAGTTATCTTTTCTACTCATCTTCCTCCTGCCATCCTTCACTCTCAATTAGATCCCAGTGTCTGTTGTTCCCTTCTTTGTGTTCATGGGTCCTCATCATTTAGCTCCCACTTGTAAGTGAAAACATGCAGTATTTGGTTTTCTCTTCCTGCATTAGTTTGCTAAGAATAATGGCCTTTAGCTCCACCCATGTTCCCAGAAAAGACATGATTTCATTTTTTTATGGTGCAGAGTATTCCATGGTGTATATGTACCACATTATCTGTATCCAGTCTGTCATTGGTGGGCATTTAGATGATTCTATGTCTTTGTTACTGTAAATAGTGCTGCAATATACATTCATGTGCATGTAGAATGATTTATTCCTCTGAATATGTACCCAGTAATGGGATTGCTGAGTCGAATACTAGTTCTGCTTTTGGCTCTTTGAGGAATTGCTATACTGCTTTCCACAATGGTTGAACTAATTTACACTCCCAGCAAGTGTATAAGTGTTGCCTTTTCTCTGCAACCTGGCCAGTATATGTTTTGTTTTGTTTTTACTTTTTGGTAATAGCCATTCTGACTGGTGCGAGATGGTATCTCATTGTGGTTTTGATTTGCAAATCTCTAATGACTAGTGATGTTAGTATTTTTTTCATATGCTTGTTGGCTGCATGTTTGTCTTCTTTTGAAAAGTGTCTGCTCATATCCTTTGCCCACTTTTTAATGGGGTTGTTTGTTTTCCTCTTATAAATTTAAGTTCCTTACAGATATTGAATATTGGACCTTTGTCAGATGCATAGTTTGCAAATATTTTATCCCATTCTGTAGGATGTTTGTTTATTCTGCTTATAGTTTCTTTTGCTATGCAGAAGCTCTTTAGTTTAATTAGATCCCACACATCAATCTTTGCTTTTGTTGTGATAGATTTGATGGCTCTGTCATGAGATGTTTACCCATTCTTATGTCCAAGATGGTATTGCCTAGGTTGTCTTCCAGAGTTTTCATAGTTTTGGGTTTTACATTTATATCTTTAATCCATCTTCAGTTGATTTTTGTGTATGATGTAAAAAAGAGGTCCAGCTTCAATCTTCCGCATCTGGCTAGCCACTTATCCCAGCACCATTTATTGAATAGGGAGTCTTTTCCCCATTGCTTGTTTTTGTCAGCTTTGTCGAAGATCAGGTGGTCATAGGTGTCTAGCCTTATTTCTGGTCTCTCTATTCTGTTCCACTGGTCTATGTGCCGTTTTTTGTACCAGTACCACATTGCTTTGGTTATGGGATCCCTGTAGTGTAGTTTGAAGTTGGGTAACATGATGCCTCCAGTTTTGTCCTTTTTGCTTACGATTTCCTTGGCTATTCAGACTCTTTTTTGGTCCCATAAGAATTTTAAAATAGTTTTTTCTAGTTCTGTGAAGAATGTCATTGTAGTTTGATGATAACATTCAATCTGTAAATTGCTTTGGGCAGCATGGCCATTTTCATGATATTAATTATTCCTATTCATGAGCATGGAAAATTTGTCATTTATTTGTGTCTTCTCTGATTTCTTTCAGTGGTGTTTTGTAATTCTCATTGTAGAGCTCTTTCACCTCCCTGGTTAGCTGTATTCCTGGGCATTTTTTGTGTGTGTGGCAATTGTGAATGAGATTTCCTTCCTGATTTGACTCTTGGCTTGACTATTGTTGGTGTATAGGAATGCTAGTAATTTTTGTACATTGATTTTGTGTCCTGAAACTTTGCCGAAGTTGTTTATCAGCTGAAGCAGCTTTTGGGCAGAGACTATGAGATTTTCCAGATATAGAATCATGTCATCTCCAAACAAAGATAGTTTAATTTCCTCTCTTCGTATTTGTATGCCATTTATTTGCTTCTCTTGCCTGATTCCTCTGGCCAGAACTTCCAATACTATGTTGAATAGGAGTGGTGAGAGTTGGCATCCTTGTCTTATGCCAATTTTCATGGGGAATGCTTCCAGCATTTGCCCATTTAGTATGATGTTGGCTATGAGTTTATCATAGATGGCTCTTATTATTTTAAGACATGTTCCTTTAATGCTTCTTTTATTGAGAGTTCTTAACATAAAGGGATGTAGAATTTTATTGAAAGCCTTTTCTGTGTCTATTGAGATAATCAACGTGGTTTTTGTCTTTAGTTCTGTTTATGTCATGAGTCACATTTATTGATTTGCATATGTTGAACCAACCTTGCATCCAGGGGATGAAGCCTACTTGATCATGGTGGATTAGCTTTTTGATGTGCTGCTGGATTCAGTTTCCCAATATTTTGTTGAGAGTTTTTGCATTCATGTTCATCAAGGATATTGGCCTGAATTTTTCTTTTTTTGTTGTGTCCCTGCCAAATTTTAGTACCAGGATGGTGACTGCCTCATAGAATGAGTTGGAGAGAAGGCCCTCCTCCTCTATTTTTTGGTATAGTTTCAGTAGGAATGATAACAGCTCTTCTTTGTACATCTGGTAGAATTCAGCTGTGAATCCACCAGGTCCTGGACTTTTGTTGGTTAGTGGGCTATTTATTACTGATTCAATTCTGAAGCTCATTATTGGTCTCTTCAGGGAATCAATTTCTTCCTGACGCAGTCTTGGGAGGATGTATATGTCCAGGAATTTATCCATCTCTTCTAGGTTTTCTAGTTTGTGTGCAAAGAGGTATTCATAGTGGTTTCTGATGGTTATTTTTATTTCTGTGTGCTTACTGACAACATTCCCTACATTATATTTAATCGTGTTTATTTGGATCATTCTCTCTTTTCTTCTTTATTAGTCTAGCTAGCAGCCTATTTTATTTTTTTTAAAAAAAAAAAAACATACTCCTGGTTTTATTTTAAATGTTTTGAAATTTTTTTATCTGTTTCCTTAGTTTAGCTCTGATTTTGGTTATTTCTTTTCTTCTCCTATCTTTGTGGTTGATTTGTTCTTGCTTCTCTAATTCTTTCAGTTGTGATGTAAGTTGTTAGTTTGAGAACTTCCTAACTTTTTGATATGGGCATTTAGTGTGTATTTTAGTATGAATTTCCCTCTTGACACTGCCTTAACTGTGTCCCCTAGATTCTGGTATGTTGTATCCTTGTTCTCATTAGTTTCTTGGTTTCTGCCTTAATTTTGTCATTTACCCAAAAGTCATTCAGGAGCATGTTGTTTAATTTCTATGTAATTGCATGATTTTGAGCAATTTTTTCAGTCTTGACTTCTGTTTTTATCATGCTATGGTCTGAGAGTATGTNTGGTATGATTTGGTTCTTTTGGATTTGCTGCGGATTGGGTTATGTCCAATTACGTGGTGGATTTTAAAGCATGTGCCATGTGGTGATGAGAAGAATGTATATTCTGTTGTTTTTGGGTGAAGAGTTCTGTAGAGGTCTATCAGATCCATTTGGACCAATGTTGAGTTCAGGTCTTAAATATCTTTATTACTTTTCTGCCTTGATGATTTGTCACATACTGTTGGTGGAGTGTTGAAGTCTCCCACTATTACTGTGTGGGAGACCATGTCTCTTTGTAGGTCTCTAAGAACTTGCTTTATGAATCTGGGTGCTCCTGTTTTGGGTGCATATATACTTAGGATAGCTAGGTCTTCTTGTTGAATTGCACCCTTTACCACTATGTAATGCCTTTCTTTGTCTTTTTTGATCTTTGTTGGTTTGAAGTCTGTTTTGTCTGAAATTAGGATTGTGACCCCTGCTTTTTTTCTGTTTCCCATTTGCTTGGTACATTTTCCTCCATCCCTTTATTGTGGGCCTAGGGGTGTCATTACATATGAGATGGGTCTCTTGAAGACAGGATACCATTGGGTCTTTCTTTTTATTCGGCTTACCACTCCATGCCTTTTAAGTGGGGCATTTAGCCTATTTACATTCAAGATTAGTATAGGTATGTGTTCATTTTATCCTGTAATTGTGTTGTTAGTTGGTTATTATGTTGGTTTGTTTGTGTGGTTGCTTTACAGTGTCACTGGTCTGCATGTTTACATGTGTTCTTTATTAGCTGGTAGCAATAATTCCTTTCTATATTTAGCACTCCTTTCAAAATCTCTTGTAAGGCAGGTCTGGTGGTAACGAACTCCCTCAATATTTGTTTATCTGAAAAGAATCTTATTTGTCCTTTGTTTAGGTAGCTTAGTTAGGCTTCAACCAAATTCTTGGTTGAAGATTTTTTTTCTTTAGGAATGTTGAATATAAGCTTCCAATCTCTTCTGACTTATAGGGTTTCAGCTGAGAGGTCTGCTATTAGCCTGATGGAGTTCCCTTTGCAGGTGACCTGCCCTTTCTCTCTAGCTCCCTTTAATATTCTTTCCCTTATTTCAACCCTGGAAAATCTAACAGTTATGTGTATTGCAGATGATCTTCTTGTATAAAATCTTACAGAAGTTCTCTGTATTTTCTGAATTTGACTGTTAGCCTCTGTGGCAAGGTTGGGGAAGTTTTCATGGATGGTATCCTGAAATATGTTTTTCAAGTTGTTTTCTTTCTCCCCTCACCCTTTCAAGGTTGCCAGTGATTCATAGATTTGGCCTGTTTACCTAATCCATACTTCTCAGAGGTTTTGTTCATTCCTTTTTAATCCTTTTTCTTTATATTTGTGTGGCTGTCTTATTTCAGTAAGCCAGTCTTCAAGTTCTGAGATTCTTTCCTCAACTTGGTTTATTCTACTGTTAGTACTTGTGATTGCATTGAAAAATTCTTGTGTTATTCAGCTCTGTCAGATTAATTAGGGTCTTTTTTATATCGGCTATTTTGTCCTTCAGCTCCTGTATTGTTCTATTGCAATTCTTAGTTTCTTTGAATTGGGTTTTGCCATCTTCCTGAATCTTGATGATCTTCACTCCTATCCATATTCTGAATTCTATTTCTGTCATTTCAGCCAGTTCAGCCTGGGTAAGAACTCTTATTGAAAAACTGGTGCAATCATTTGGAAGATGTATGACACTCTGGCCATTTGAGTTACCAGAGTACTTGCATTGGTTCTTTCTCATCTCTCTGTGTGGATGGTTTTTTAACTGCACGTAGACTGAGTACAGTCAATAGACTTGTTTTCTGGTTATTTTCTCAGGGCCAAGGCTTTGTGCAGGATCTTTATTTGAAGCTGACTTTCTGTCTTCGGTTTTAGACATGAAACCGCAGGGTATGGTAGCAAGGTATTTTTGGTGTTGAAGCTTTGGGATGTGATCCAGTAGGTGGCACTTAGGTGTATTAGTCAGTTGGTGGACTCTTGCTTGGTTGTGTGCCCATCCTTCCACCCGTGTTTTCTCACAGTTGCAGCCATGTTTCCTCTCAATGCTCTGAAAGTGTGGTTTCCTCTCCCCCTTGAGTGCTGGCTGTAGATTGCAGCTTGGTGCTCCTGGGCTGCCCACAGCCACTCTGGAACAAACTCAGTGTTCATGTTCCTTCCCTAACTTGTAGGCAGCAGAGGAAGCGACCTTAGTAATGGTTGTGGCCAAGGGTCATTTGCTTGTCTCCTGGGGGCTCCACCCCAAGGAAATGCAGTTCAGCAATTGCTCAGTGCAATCAGCCAGGATGGAGGGTCTGTGCTGTGGGCCCAAGCTAAGAGTTCCCTGTCTGGAGACAAGCAGTAGGGGTGAGACCCATGGGGCATGGACTTGCCTCCTCTCCTTGGGTTGACTGCAGTTTGTTGGAGGTGTGGATAAGGCACTTAAGGTATTTGCTTCTTCGTTAGTCTGAGGGTAGCAAGGCAGCTACACTGCAGAGGCAGTGGCAAAGAGACTTTCAGATGCCCCCTGGGGGCTGTGTCCAGGGAGTTTCCAAGCTGCTACTGGCTCAATAGCTCTGGTTAGAGGTGGCTAGAGGCCCAGGCCTGGAGGACCTGCTTGGTGAGGAGATATGGGAATGGGCACCCATGTAACAGCCTGGCCACTTTTCCATAGAACTTCTGCAATATGCTGGGGCCCTGCTCCAGTCCCTAGTCACCTTGGACTTTCCAGTACCTGAAGGTAACAACAGTGAAGGCTGCAAAGCAGTAAAAATAGCAGCCTGCCTCTCCGTCTGGGATCTCCCTCCCAGGGAGATATGGACCTTTTACCATCTCAAACACAGGCGTAGGAGGTAGCTGGAGACCCTGGCTGGGAGTTCCTGCCCAGTGAGGAGGAATGGGATTGGGGGCCTGCTTTAAAAAGTCTGGCCACATTTTCATAGAGCAACTGTGCTGTGCGAAGGGACTGCTTCTGCCTGCAGTTGCCTTGGACTCTCTGAGGCCTGAAGTCTGGATGGCTAAGTCGCCCAAACAGCAAGGATGGTGGCCTGTCCCTCCTTCTGAGAGCACTGTCCCAGGAAGGTTCTGAATCTCTGTTGGCCAAAAAACACCGGCAGGGATGGCTGGAGGCCCCAGTGGGAGGTTCTGCCTAGTGAGAAGGAAGGAGATCGAGGACCCGTTTAAACTAAGCAGTCTGACCCGTTTTCGTATAGCAGTTGCACTGTGCTGAGGTACCCGCTTCCGCCCCCTGCTCACCTTGGACTCTCCAAAGCCTGAAGGCTGGAATAGCTCAGTTGCCTAAACAGCAAAGATGGCCTCCTGCCCCTCCCACTGAGAGCGCTGTCTCAGAGAGGTGCAACACTGTTACTCCTGGCTGACAGGAATTACAAGCCAGTGGGTCTTAATCCTGTGAGGTGCCGTGGAAGTGGGGCCTGCAGACTGTCACTGCTCAGCCCCCTGGATTCAGCCCCTTTCCTAGGGGTACATAAGGAGTCTAACCACTCACTTTGCAAGAGTGCATCTGTTTTTGCAGGGAAACCCATAAAGCCCAGGTCTCTAAGGCTCCCAGGTCTCTAAGGCTCCTAGGTCTCTAAGGCTGAGCAGCTGCTCTGCAGAGACTCCATGTAGCTACATGTGTGGGACTGAAGGCCCTGGTGGAGTGGGTTCACGAGGGGATCTCGTGAACCGAGGATTGCAAAAATCCATGGGAGAAGTGTGGGTTCCCAGGGTCGCACATTCACTCACCACTTCCCTAGGTAGGGGAGGTTGCCCTGGCTCCACGCTGCTCCCGGTGGGCCATCATCCTGCCTTGCTTTTCTTCCTTCTCCTTGGGTGAACTTGTTTCCTTGATTAGTTCCAATGCCTGTACCTGGATATTTTAGTTGAGGTTGCTGTATTTCCTCACCCCTTCCGTTCTTCTCCATGAGAGCCCACACACTAGCTGCTCCTAGCAAGCCATCTTCTTCTTTCATATCTCAAAGTCATAAATATATTCTTTTATTTTTGAGACAGAGTCTCACTATGCTGTCCAAGCAGGTCTCAAACTGCTGTGCTCAAGTGATCGTACTGCCTCCACCTCCCAGGTAACTGGGATTATAGGTGTGCACCAGCACAACTGGCAGACTATATTCTATAGTTTCTTCTACAAATCACCTTTCACACATTTAGGAATTTAATCTATCTGTAACTTACTTTTTTGTGGGAAGTGTTACTATTCTAGCTTTTTCCCAAATGGACAATTAGTCAGTTGTCCCAGAAAAATATATTGTAGTACCTATTTTTCTCCCATGTCTTATAAGAGCTGCCATTTTGAAATGAGTTCCTCATCATCATCATGAATTTGTTATTTGTTTCAGTGTCTGTATTCTGTTCCAGCAACATAATTATTTCTCTCTAAGTAAATAGTATGTTTATCTTAAGATCTATACCTTCAAAATAAGTTGTATTTTTGCTTAGAAAATACCTCTAGACTCTTCACAATTATCTTTGCTCTTATTCACCTTTTTTGTTTCATATGAATTTTAGGATCATCTCATAAAGTCACACGAAATATCCTGCTGGGGTTTTTCTCAGAAATGCACTGAATTTATGAAGGGATATGTACAGACTTGACATATTTGTATTATTGAGTCTTATCATCTAAAAACACAGTATGTCTCTCCATTTATTCAGGAATAATTTGGCCCTCAATATGTTTAGTAATGTTCTCTATAAAGGGCTTGTACATTTTTCATCTTTAATAAAATTTATTCCTAAATATCTTTTCAGTTTTCTTGCTACTGTGAATGGCATGTCATTCTACTACACGTTGATTACTGCTAGTGTAAGAAAAGGCTATTAATTTTTGTATGTAAATCTTTTCACCAACAAATTTGCTGGATTCTTTTTTTATTTCCACTTATTTGCTTTCAATATTTTTGAATTTTCTATGTATACAATAATACACCTAAAAATAAAGATCTTTTTGTATTTTTTATTTCAGTTCCTGTACCTTATATTTTCTTGTCCTCCTTAATTTACTATGACTAATACTATACTAAATTGTAAAGACAAGCACACTTTTCTTACTTCTGAGTTTTAGCTATTAAATATGGTGCATGATGTAGTATTTAAAGGACATTATTCATCAAGTTAAGAGAATTCCTTTCATTCCTAGTTTAGTAAGAGCTTCTTTTTAGTCACTAATCTGTATTAAAAATTTTCAAATGCTTTTTACATATGTTTTAACACCATCATATAGCATTTCTATTAATCTGTTAATGTAAAGGATTACATTAATAGATTTTGACTGTATATAGTATTACGCATATATGGTACGCAAACATCTTGAGATTTTTGTCTATACCTATAAGTTGACTATTTACTATTTTAATATCAAGGTTATTCCAGCCTCATAAAATAAGCCATGTAGCATTTCATTTAAAAAAATGTACATAAGATAGAAATCATCTGTCCCTTGGAAGTTCAGTAAAACTTGCCTGTAAATCATTCTGGGTAGGATATCTTTTGGGTGTGGAGATTTTAACTAGCAATTAATTTAAATAATGGTCATTGTTAGTGTTTCAGCTTTGGCCATTATAAACAATGTAACTATATTAATCATTCTGGGCCTCAGTTTCATCATTTATACCTACTCCACACCATTTTTATTTTTTTTCATTTTTATTTTTATTTATTTATTTATTTATTGAGACAGAGTCTTGCTTTGTTGTCCAGGCTGGAGTGCAGTGGCACTATCTCAGCTCACTGCAACCTCTGCCTCCTGAGTTCAAGCAATTCTCCTGCCTCAGCCTCCAAGTAGCTGGGATTACAGGTGCACATCACCATGCCTGACTAATTTGTTTGTATTTTTAGTAGAGATGGGGTTTCACAACGCTGGCCAGGCTGGTTTCAAACTCCTGACCTCAAGTGATCCACCCACCTTGGCCTCCCAAAGTGCTAGGATTACAAGCATGAGCCATCGCTCCCGACCTATTATTCATTTTTTTTTTTTGAGACGTAGTCTCGCTCTGTTGCCCAGGCTGGAGTGCAGTGGCACGATCTCAGCTCACTGCAACCTCCGCCTCCCAGATTCAAACGATTTTTCTGCCTCAGCCTCCCAACTAGCTGCAACTACACCTGCTTGCCATCATGTCTGGCTAATTTTTGTATTTTTAGTAGAGACAGGGTTTCACCATATTGGCCAGGCTGATCTCGAACTCCTGACCTCATGATCTGCCCACGCTGGCCTCCCAAAGTGCTGGGATTACAGGTGCGAGCCACCACACTTGGCCCCTATTATTCATTTTTAAATCTTTCTTTTTGAGACAATTTTGATTTTTTATTTAAAATTTTTCATATTTATTGGCATAAAAGTTTTGTTATTTGTCATATTACTTTTTTATTTGTAACTATGTCTCCTTTATTGTTAAAAAATATACATATTTTTGCAAGATGGCCGAATAGGAACAGCTCCAGTCTGCAGCTCCCAGTGAGATCAACACAGAAGATGGGTGATTTCTGCATTTCCAACTAAGGTACCTGGTTCATCTCACTCAGACTGGTTGGACACTGGGTGCAGCCCATGGAGGGCAAGCTGAAGCAGGGGGGGCATCTCCTCACCCAGGAAGCACAAGGGGTGGAGGGATTTCCCCTTCCTAGCCAAGGGAAGCTGGGACAGACTATAACTGGAGAAACAATACACTCCTGACCAAATACTGTGCTATTCCCACAGTCTTAGCAACCGGCAGACCAGGAGATACCCTCCCATGCCTGGCCGGGCAGGTCCCACACCCACAGAGCTTGCTTACTGCTAATACAGTAGTCTGAGATCAACCTGTGATGCTGCAGCTTGGCAGGGGGAGGGGCATCAGCCATTGCTGAGGCTTGAGTAGCTCACAGTGTAAACAAAGCATCCTGGAAGCTGAAACTGGGAGGAGCTCACTGCAGCACAGCAAGGCCTACTGCCTCTCTAGATTCCACCTCCGGGGGCAGGGCATAGCAGAACAAAAGGCAGCAGACAGCTTCTGCAGACTTAAACATCCCTGTGTGACAGCTCTGAAGACAGCAGTGGTTCTCTCAGCATGGCATTCAAGCTCTGAGAACAGTCAGATTGGCTCCTCAAGCTGGACCATGACCCCCATGTAGCCTGCCTGGGAGATACTTCCCAGTAGGGGCCAACAGACACCTCAAACAGATGGGTGGCCCTCTGGGATGAAGCTTCCAGAGGAAGGATCAAGCAGCAATATTTGCTTTTCTGCAGCCTCCACTGGTGATACCTAGGCAAACAGGTTCTAGAGTGGACCTCCAGCAAACTCCAACAGACCTGCAGCAGAGGGGCCTGACTGTTAGAAGGAAAACTAACAAACAGAAAGGAATAGCATCAACATCAACAGAAAGGACATCCACAGCAAAACCCCATCTGTAGGTCACCAATATCAAAGACCAAAGGTAGATAAAACCACAAAGATGGGGAGAAACCAGAGCAGAAAAGCTGAAAATTCCAAAAACCAGAGAGTCTCTTCTCCTACAAAGGATCGCAGCTCCTTACCAGCAAGGGAACAAAACTGAATGGAGATTGAGTTTGACAAGTTGACAGAAGTAGGTTTCAGAAGGTCAGTAATAACAAACTTCTCCGAGATAAAGGAGCATATTCTAACCCATCGCAAGGAAGCTAAAAACCTTGACAAAAGGTTAGACAAATGGCTAACTAGAATAAACAGTGTAGAGAAGACCTTAAATTACCTGATGGAGCTGAAAACCACAGCACAAGGACTTCGTAACACATACACAAGCTTCAATAGCCGATTTGATCAAGTGGAAGAAAGGATATCAGTGATTGAAGATCAAATTAATGAAATAAAGTGAGAAAACAAGAATAGAAAAAAAAAAGAGTAAAAGAAATGAACAAAGCCTCCAAGAAATATGGGACTATGTGAAAAGACCAAATATATGTTTGATTGGTGTACTGGAAAGTGATGAGGAGAATGGAACCAAGTTAGAAAACACTCTTCAGGATATTATCCAGGAGAACTTCCCTAACATAGCAAGGCAGACCAACATTCAAATTCAGGAAATACATAGAACACCACAAAGATACTCCTCGAGAAGAGCAACCCCAAGACATATAATTGTTAGATTCACCAAGGTTGAAATGAAGGGAAAAAAGTGTTAAGGGCAGCCAGAGAGAAAGCTCAGGTTACCCACAAAGGGAAGCCCATCAGACTAACAGCGGATCCCTCAGCAGAAACCCTACAAGCCAGAAGAGAGTGGGGGCCAATATTCAACATTCTTAAAGAAAAGAATTTTCAACCCAGAATCTCATATCCAGCCAAACTAAGCTTCATAAGTGAAGGAGAAATAAAAATCCTTTACAGACAAGCAAATGCTGAGACATTTTGTCACCACCAGGCCTGCCTTACAAGAGCTCCTGAAGGAGGCACTAAACATGGAAAGGAGCAACCGGTACCAGCCACTTCAAAAACATGCTAAATTGTAAAGACCATCAACGCTATGAAGAAACTGCATCAATTAACAGGCAAAATAACCAGCTAACATCATAATGACAGGATCAAATTCAAACATAAAAATATTAACCTTAAATATAAATGGGCTAAATGCTCCAATTAAAAGACACAGACTGGCAAATTGGATAAGGAGTCAAGAACCATCGATGTGCTGTATTCAGGAGACCCATCTCACATGCAAAGACACACACAGGCTCAAAATAAAGGGATGGAGGAAGATCTACCAAGCAAATGGAAAGCAAAAAAAAAAGTAGGGGTTGCAATCCTAGTCTCTGATAAAACAGACTTCAAACCAACAAAGATCAAAAGAGACAAAGAAGGTCACTACATAATGGTAAAGGGATCAATTCAACAAGAAGAGCTAACTATCCTAAATATATATGCACCCAATATAGGAGCACCCAGATTCATAAAGCAAGTCCTTAGAGACCTACAAAGAGACTTAGACTCCCACACAATAATAATGGGAGACTTTAACACCACACTGTCAATATTAGACAAATCAACGAGACAGAAGGTCAACAAGGATATCCAGGACTTGAACTCAGCTCTGTATCAAGCAGACCTGATAGACATCTACAGAACTCTCCATCCCAAATCAACAGAATATACATTTTTCTCAGCACCACATTGCACTTATTCTAAAATTGACCACATAATTGGAAGTAAAACACTTCTAAACAAATGTAAAAGAACAGAAATCACAACAAACTGTCTCTCAGACCACAGTGCAATCAAATTAGAACTCAGGATTAAGAAACTCACTTAAAACCCCACAACTACATGGAAACTGAACAACCTGCTCCTGAATGACTACTGGGTACATAACGAAATGAAGGCAGAATAAAGATGTCCTTTGAAACCAATGAGAGCAAAGACACAATGGACCAGAATCTCTGGGACACATTTAAAGCAGAGTGTAGAGGGAAATTTATAGCACTAAATGCCCACAAGAGAAAGTAGGAAGATCTAAAATTGACACCCTAACATCACAATTAAAAGAACTAGAGAAGCAAGAGCAAACAAATTCAAAAGCTAGCAGAAGGCAAGAAATAACTAAGATCAGAACAGAACTGAAGGAGATAGAGACTTGAAAAACCCTTTAAAAAATCAATGAATCTTTATAGCACCAGGATTTATAATCCTTTGGGTATATACCCAGTAATGGGAAGGCTGGGTCAAATGGTATTTCTAGTTCTAGATCC